>NC_000022.11:35982291-36133806 GCF_000001405.40 Homo sapiens
AACACAGAAGGATAGCTCCTGTTACATCCCCCAGGTCCCTTTCCCTGACTTCCACCGGTCCCAGCTAGTTTAGACCCTCCTCCCCCCATCTCCCCATTTACTCAATTCTCTTAATGCACTTACCACATTATAGGTCTTGTTGGTACCAGTCTCCCTACTACACTGGGAGCCCCTGAGGTCATGGACTGTCTCTCTCTCTCTGCCTCCCTCCACATCCTCAACAGCCAGCATGGTACAGGGCATACGGGCGCTAAATAAACATTTGCTGGGGTGATTACAAGAACTGCAGAATGAACAGGGAAGTGGGTAGGAGAAAAGGAAATGGTTGGACGGTAATTTGAGGTCTGAGGGTCCAGGATATCTGAATAGAAACCATGCTACAGTCCCTACAATGGAACATGTTGAGTGCAACAGTTATATAAGAAAAATCATTCTTTAATAGTCTCTGATAGAGTGTTTTAGAACAAAAGCTGTTTTAACTCTAACAAGCTAAGGGTATCGTTTAAAAAAAAAAAAAACCACTAATCCTATTTATTAGTGTTATGTCCCAAAAGCAAAACAGCAACAAGAGAGTGTGGCCTACAAAACTACCACAGCCCTACCATTGAGCTCCAGCTCCCAAACACAAATAGCTTTTCAGGACTCCTCTTTCTTTGACAGCTGTTTCACCCACCCTCTCCCCTTAGCCTCTTCCCTTCCTCCCCTACAAGGCAGCAAAGCAAACAATGACTGCACTACAAAATCCAAGAATCATCAGAAAAACAAATCTCCCCAGTTCTCCTAAGTTTATCCTGAGGGCTGCTGGCAAGATAAGCAATTTTTTCCTCATTATGGTAGACTTCACCTGGGTGATGAATGTAGCTATCAACTTTTCAACAAGGTGCTGGAAATAGTAGATCTCAAAACCATACCTTAGTAGTGCACCTGCCCAATCTGCCCTCAGCTCTGCAACCAGGAGGCTTTTACCAGCTCTACTTTAGCTCTAATCCACCAGCTACTACCCGCCCCCTACCAGGGGCATCTGCTCTTGAACCTTCCTTATTAACTATAGTTGTCAAAATCAAACAGAACCTGATAGAAAAGTAAGACAGGAAAGGGATATAGTAAGTTTCTAAGATTGTCTCAGTTTAGACCCCTTGGCCATTTTTTTACCTGGATTTTTTTTTCTATTGAAGAAAACTATAATAATTACTTTTAGGAGATGCTGATTCTTATTAGATTTTACTTTGAATCACTGTGGTAAGATGTTAGAGCTAAAAGCAATCTCAGAAATAACATCATATCACCACATTTTGCAAATGGAGAATGACCCAGAGATGTTAATAACTGCTTAACTACGGCTACACAAAAAAATTTCCTAGATCATCAAATCCTGGATGGCAAGACCTGTATCTAATTTGTCTCCAGTGTCCAACAGTGTTCGGCACTTGATAAATGGTTGGTTAACTGAACTAAATGAACACAACTAATTAGTGGGAATCTAGAACTATGACCCATGACCATTTTACTTCAAGTACAATGTTTTCTCATTACATGTGACTAGAAAGCTAGAGTCGATGAATAATTTGGAATCCAAGCTCTCTTCCTCCTCAACGACCAGGCACACTCTGTTTATCTCTGACACCATCTGTAAGATTTCCAATCTCTGTATGTTCAACTGCTCTAAAAATCATACATTTCTAAACTGATTCCCTAAAATAGCTCTCCTCTTCCACTCAGATAATTTTTTTAATAATTCTCTTCAATTACCTAATCTTCTTAATGACTGACCTCTTGGGGATCCCTCCTTATACCTCAACAACTTACAACAAGCTTCAAAAATCTGTCTCCTTCCCTTGTTTGTGTCCCCCTAGGCCAATGGTTCTCAACCTTACTGCATACTAGCATCATCTGAAGATGTTTAAAAAAACAAACCTGATTCCTGGGTCCTGCCCCCAGAGTTCCTGATTTAATTGGTCTGGGTAGGGTATGGCCTAAGCACTGAAATGTTTAAAAGCTTCCCAGGTGATTCTAACGCACAGTTGGCTAATATTGAGAACCTCTGCCCTATGCCCTCAGAAACTCACCACTTAGTCCATTATATACTCTAAAAATAACTACATACTGCCAGTTGTTCTGGACTTGCAAAATATTAGACTGCTTTGCACAAGGCAGAGTGTGTTGCTAGACTGAAGGCACATTGGAACCATACCCTTGTTTCACATCTGTTATATAATAAAACTGTGGTAAATATGTTGGTAAAGGTCTATAAATCATTAATGATAATGAATGCCCAGCATCTGGCTAAAAGACTTACAGAGGGGAAAAAGCTATACTGAAGTTGGCTCAGAAACACATTTAGTTTCTCAATTTTTTTTTAACCAAAGATCTAGAGTCCTTCAAATCCAGATGGTCTTTCTGTATCAAAAATAGCTTTTTGTGGCACATGAACAAACCCAGCCCGAAAGAAGCACAAGAATATACTATGTATTTTCATGTCTCCATGACTCTGCTCACCCCAGTATCTATGTCTGGAACACCCTTACCCAGTCTGCATAGAAAATTCCTATTCATCTTTCAAAGCTGAGTTCAAATGCCTCCTTTAGTCATTCATTCAACAAATACCGAGAATTCACTAAGTGACAGGCAATGGAGATACAACATTAAATGAGACACAGTCACTGGCTTCACAGTGCTTACACTCAAGTACTTGGGAAGACAGCCAGTAAACAAGGAGACAAATTTTTAAAATTCCAGATGATGCGAAGAAAAGATGACAACATAATGTGACACAGTAATGGTGGATGGTGGCTGTTCCAAAGTAGACTCATTTGGTCCCTCAAGACCAAATCAAGAAAGGAGACTTTATCACATTCCTTTTCACACTCTCAGAATTGACTCTTGCTACAGACACAATGAATATTTTGAATGAACAACAAAAAAAGAGTAAGAAAGGCAAAAGTAAAATACTAGTAGAAATAATCGTAATCAACTAAAAGTCAAGAGACACAAACCCTAAGTTGTTCCAACTACCTACTAGGTTTTCAGCAAATCTCTTCCTCTCTTCTGTAAAATGGGTAGACTGGATTAGACCGGGATTGTAACACTCACCAGAGGTAAAGAGTGAAGTGCACAGGTAGAGACTGTGCAATACTGAAGCAAACGGGTCATTCCAAAAGAGAACAGCCACTATTTAGCTCCTGCAGATTGTCAGATGTAGGAATGTGGGCCCCGTGCTGCCAAGTGAAGCCACAAATCTGGGTTTCATGTGAGCTTTCCCAATGTTTAAATGTTAAATCCAAAGGCCTTTAAAATACTGTGTTATCCAAACAAAATCCCATGTGTGGGAGCCACACCAAAGGCCTATAGTTTGCAACCTCTTGACTAGATAATCTTTAAGTCCTCCCTAATTCTAACAGTCTATGGCTCTAAATGAAATATCTTCTCAAAGAAAAACAGTTAAAGAGGAGACAACGGGGTCAAAGAATAGAAAGAGAAAAGGACAGTCTCCTTCACAAGTGTTCCAATCAGATCACAGAAGGTGGGAGGATCACTGGAGCCCAGAAGTTCAAGGCCAGCCTGGGCAACAAAGCAGGAAAGACTCCATCTCTAGATAGATAGATAGATAGATGGATAGATAGATAGATAGATAGATAGATAGATAGATAGATAGATAGATAGATAGAGTCTTCCTCATAATTCCTCAGGCAGCAAACCCTTGTTGCTCAGAAAGAAAATGCAAAATGCAGCCTGGATAATGAAAAGACCAATTCTAACCTCTCCCTCAGATTATAAAAGCAGCCAGTCCGCTATATTTTTAGTAATCTTGGGCTGAACTGTTGTGCTTCTGCCCACACGAGCTTAATAAATACCACTATTATAGGCAATCAGGTATGCTTAAATAGAGGCACAACCCATGTGCACACACAGACACAGACACCCCACATAGCACAAAGCAAGGAAATCAATTATGCTGAAGACTGGCAAGATGCCCCAAAGACACAGCAGGAATTTGATATGAACAGCAGGATGAGGAAGGAGAATGAATAATTCAGACTCCCTGATTCACTTAACAAAGTCCTGTCAAGCACAAACTGAGACCCATGGTTTGTGGGCTGAGCTCCCTGGGCTAAAAGGCAACACAAGCTCACTGTCTGAATGGAAAGCTCACTGTGCCTGCTGTGGAGGTGGGAGAAGGAAGAAATGAAAAACGTGCACCTCAAAAAGAAGTCAAGTTATTTTTCTGAGAGCCAGTTCATCATAAAAGACCAAACTTGAAAGCAGACAATGTTTTCATACTGTCCTTAGCAAAGGAAAAAGAACATGCATATTTTATTTATGCCCACCCCCTTTAAGAAGGCCTCCACTGGATTAACAAGCCCAAAGTAAATGAGATAATGGAAAAGGCAAAAGAAAGAAGTATCAGCCAGAATAGCTAAATGTATAGACGTATTCCCAATCCTTACCCTTTCACCCCAGTGTTTAAGAAAGTTATCAACATTAACTATCTTCAAGCTAGCAATGATGACTGTGGACTTATGGACTATTCATCAACTGCTTCACCTAAGTTCCTCATGATTTTTAGACACCAGCCAATTCTGAAAACAGATCCAGATCTATACCAAGCATTACTCAGTCACCATAAACTCTTACTTCACTGGAAAATAGAGTTTTGTATAAAGATCTCTTTTTTTTTTTTTTAAGACTGTTACATAAATGACCTAGGGAAGAAAAAGAAAGGTAAACAGTCCAAACTGTTTTCATGTATCTTTATGATAGGTTTGGTGTTTTATCTTCCATTTTTGTTTT
Organism: Homo sapiens; assembly: GCF_000001405.40. NCBI lineage: Eukaryota > Metazoa > Chordata > Mammalia > Primates > Hominidae > Homo > Homo sapiens. The sequence goes on from NC_000022.11 coordinate 35,987,080, forward strand.
TTAGTGACAAGAATAAAATATTTGTAATCATACAGCATTTAAATCTCTCAAAGCCACAATACTCGCTGATGCAAATATTTCAGTCTTACATTTGTAAAATATTACTTGTAAACAACATACCAAGAATGCATTAACTTCTGAATGCCACAATACTAAAATTGTGTTTGTAGAAAAACCAAGGGATAAGAACAAATTTAGGCTGTTCTTTACAATTCCTTCAGAATTCCTTCTAAAAACAGTGACCAAGTTCTAAATATTATACTATTCTGAGTTGCAGAAAACAGATTTCAGAAAGCAATTACTACCACAAACAAATGCACTTAGCATGAGCTCATACATTTAAAAACCATTTTAAAAATTAATCTGATTCCTCAAAGTTATCAAAAGCAACTAACAACTTTTCAAAATTCAAATGGCTGAACAGGAGATGTTTCAGTCCTAAAAGCAAAAAATAAATAGCACTAAAATTGAATAGTAATTAAATAACCTGCTCCTTCTACTGATAATAAGCAAATTTTCCTATTTACATCAGGTCAGCCTCTAGGGAATTAATCTGTCAGCCTGTCATAAAGAAGCGTGTGATACAACAGCAGTGACTCAAACCAGAGAACCCATGAGAGGAGGCAGCAATCACACCAGATGGAACTTTCTGCTCACATTCTATGTCACAGATCAGGATCTAAGGGTTCATAAGGCAAGCTCCCAATGGTCACAGATGGGGGCCCCCAACTGCCAAATGCTTACTGACTGGTGCATCTAAAAATGAGATAATACAAAGTCTGATATGCCTTTTCTTTTGTCAAAGAACAATAAAGCCACTGTTGATCAACTTTAGCAAGTTGGAAAATGGATGACAAACTTCCCGGAAGAAGAATAAAACTTATTCTGTAAATTATTTGGTGAGGTTGGGGCAACAGTATTTTTCTTAAAGCTCCCCAGAGGATGCTAACAGGCAGCCAAGATTAAGAAACACTGGTCTAATTAAGCCTTGAAACAAACTAACTAGAGCTACTTAACCAGTGAAAGCCAGAGGTAAAACCCTAAAGGGGGGCCACCTTGGCCTTTGAACATGACTTTGTTTGAAATGATTATCTCTAGCAAAAGAACCGCACAGCGATCATTCACCCTGCAAATCTAGGATCTATATTCCATACAGATAAGGTTCTTTCAGTTCTAAAATCCTATAATCCATACAACCATTAAATGGCAATAAATACTAAGCTTACTATAAATCACGTACTGTGCTACATACTGGGAATTTAAAAAGAAAAAATAAAGATTAAAACAGAGTCCCTACCCTCGAAGAGCTTACAGTTTGGCAGGAGCTCAAAGGAAATAGGCTCTTATAATACAGTGAAATAAATCCTAAATAGGGAAAAGTACAAGGTGCTATGAAAGCAGTCAAGAGAGTTCCTAACCCTATCTTAGAAATTCAGTAAAAGATTCCCAAAGGTTTATTAAGACCAATAAACCGAGATCTCAAAGGTAAGGGTTAGTGCCATAAAGGGTAGAAGGAGACATGTTATAGAGGGAATGAAGTGAAGCTGCATGGTATATGCATGAGCGGGTCAAGGGGTGGGAGATGAGGTAGGAGCCAGATCACCAAAGTCTTTTAGTGGGACTAAAGGACAGTGAGATGATCAGAGTTGTTTCAGAAGGATCACTCTGAAAAAAATTACTGCAACGCAATGATGTGGGATGGGAGGGACGAAATTAAAGACAGAAGGACCATTTAAGAGGCTATAACAGTAGCTTCAGCAGCTGGGTAAATGGTGGCACTGGTTGCTGAGTTACACAAGGACAGAATTTTGCAGAAATTCCAGATAAGGGCTGGGCATAGTGGCTCATGCCTGTAATCCCAGCATCTTGGGAGACCGAGGCGGGCAGATCACCTGACGTTATGAGTTCAAGACCAGCCTTGCCAACATGGCAAAACTCCATCTCTTCTTAAAAAGAGCAGATAAGGAGGAATCAGTTTTAGATGTTGTGTTTGCAGTTAACTATGGGGTATCCAAGCACAGATGCACACTGAGCAGGTGGATACAGACATCCTAAGTGCAGGAAAGAGATCTAGGCTACAGACAGCAATTTGGAAGTTGTCAGCATATAGATGATAAATAAAGCCTTAGCAATAGATGAGCTTGCCCAAGGAGAAATATATATAACTTAAAAGAATTAAAAAGAAAAAGACCTAGAATAGAATCATTTCAAGCACCAATTTTTAAGTGGTGGGCTGAGGAAGGGATAACAAAAATGCACTGGCAGACAGAGGGAGAAATTCTAAAAAGCATGGTACAAGAGAAGCCAGGGGAAGAGCGGCATTCCAAGGACAAAGATGACACAAAGGAATATTCATTGGATGTAGTCGCAAGGGGGTTAATGGTGATTTTGGAGAAAAGAGTTTCAATGTTGTGGTTAAAGAGAAAACCAGAACTGCAATGGGCTCAAAGGGCACAGACAACTATTTTAAGAAGGTGGCTTGTAGAAGGGAGGAGAGTGAAAAGCAGATGGAGGGTAAAGATAACTAAATGTGCTAGATTTTATTTATTTATTTTGTTTAAAGTTGATGAAAAAAAGATATAGAAGGGCAGATTTAAAATCTTGGGAAAAATCCAAGTAGAACTCACTACAGAAAGGACGAAAAGTGGCACTCAAATTTGGTGGCACGAAGGTAAAGGAGCTCCAATCTGAGGGTTTCTATAAATTAAGAGGCAAGATTAAGTGAAGGGAAGCAAAAGGAAAGGAAATGTAGGACAATGAGGGATGTTTAAACAGCCACTGTGGCAAATCCCCAAGAGGTCACTTAAAAACAGAAATACTGGCCATGTGCGGTGGCTCACACCTACAATCCCAGCAGTTTGGGAGGCCAAGGTGGATGGATCACTGGAGGTCAGGAGTTCGAGACCAGCCTGGCCAACATGGTGAAACCCCAACTCTACTAAAAATACAAAAAATCAGCTGGGCATGGTAGCACACACCTGTAATTCCAGCTACTCAGGAGGCTGAGGCAGAAGAATCGCTTCAACTCAGGAGGCAGAGGTTGCAGTGAGCAGAGATCGTGCCACTGCACTCCAGCCTGGTGACAGAGTGAGACTCTGTCTAAAAACAAAAACAAAAACAAAAAACACACACAGAAATACTACCAGGCAGGAGTCAAGGGTCTAGGAAAGGTTGGATATTAGGAAGGCAGAGAGCTGTACTGAGTTTTGCCAGGTAGGAAAAATACAATGAAAAATGAAAATAAAGAGAGGATATTGGCCAAAGAGCTGTTTAAGAGAAGGACGACAAAGTCGAAACAAGACAGGGAAGGGAGCAAAGACAGGGGAGTTAACAAAAAGGGAGAGAATACAGAGAGGGCCAATGCACTGGCTTTCTCAATGACATTGGAGAAAAGAGGCAGTGGGGGTAATTAAATGAGAGAACTGAAGAGTCTTAATGAGAAAATGAGACGCTTGTCTTTAAATTTTCAGAAATTAAGCAGTTCTAAATTGACTAACCCCAAAATGTGGCCTTAGAATAGTTGGTGAAAGAGAAGAAAGGCAATGAAACAGATTAATTAGAGAACCAGACATAAGACTAGCTAAGGTGCTGGATCAGTCTTCCACACAGACACTGGAGTCTCTTAAGACAATAGCAATACTTAAGGTAAGAAGAAAGCCCACAATCCAAGAGCTACAAGTTTTTGTTCATTTTTTAAATGAGGGAGGGACAAAACAATAAATGACAGTACTGCATAAGGGAAAAGGTTAGACTAGCCAGATTACACGAGCTTTTAAGGAACAGGGAATTTCACCCAAGGGTATAGGATTTTATGTAAGCATTGGAGAGGGGAGAGAGAGAACAACAGAATACTAATCTCTGTAATACAGGAGAACAAGGAACACCGAAACACCCACTAAGCCAAGCATGGTGTTGCACACCTGTAGTCCCAGCTGCTTGGGAGGCTGAGGCAGGGGGATCACTTGAGCTTGGGAGTTTGAGACCAGCCTGGGCAACACAGAGAGACCCCATCTCTAAATTTTAAAAATTACAAAAACAAAAAACAAAAAACCCACCCACTAGAAGGGAGATAGAGGATGTAAAGTCCTGAGAAAGAAAACAAATTTAGTTAAGAGAAAGGAGTAAAAATAACATGCAGTTAAGAGGCTGAAGATGAAGGAAGTTTGCTCACTGTGCAACAGGAAAAAATGGGACAGTCTATGAGGAGCCACCGGAAGATCGGAATGGAAGAGAAAAAGTATAAAGTCAGTTAGGCCTGACAACAGAGGAATATACAGATGGCCACAAGTATTTACATTCTGGATGCTGACCAAGGAGTGCAGAGTTGAAAGAATGGTCTGTTTGGGTATTGCAAGGTTTCTTTAAAAGATAAAAAAAATTAGTCCAAAGAATTCCTTAACAGAAAATTGGAGGGAGGCAGGAGGACTTGGGCCTTTGGACAGGAGTCAGCATCAGCCAGGTTTAAGTGAGCTTTTAGGAGTCACAGTCAGAAGAGCAGAGGAGAACAGGGTAATCCAAATACCATGTCACCTACCAAACATTGAAAACAATGGCAGCTCTGGTCACTGGAGAGAGGAAGAACCCTGAGATTCTGCAAGGAAGAAACCACGGCCTAAAATATCTATTTTGCCAAAGCAAACAAGAAAACTCTCTGAATGAAGTTACTTATGATGTGGACCGACTCAGGCTGACAAGAACGGGCACCAGATTCAGGTTTCTGGCACCTCCGATAATGACTGATGAACTAATAAAAATGAGGCCTCAAGATTCAAGAACTTGGATACCTCTAATCAAAAATAAAAATTAACAAATCAAACAATTACTTTTTTACACACCTAATATATGTAACCACTCCTGTGGCTAAGTGCTTTACTTGCAATATCTCATTAGTTCTCACAACTCTGTGAGGTAGAAACTATTATTAACATTTTACAGATGAAGGAACTGAGCCTCAGAGAAATTGAGAAACTTGCCTAAGGTAATAAATCTATTAAACAGCAAAGTCAATAGGACTCTAAACCCCAAACTCTTAACCACTGAGCTCCACTTGACTCTTACCTTGCCACACCAGCGGATGTTGCCAATATGCTTAAGATATATCCTCTGAAATATACAACTCAAAGTATCATTACTAGCAGAGGGAACGCAAAGAAATAAAAGGCATGGTCCTCAAGAAAATTAACTCTGCTTAGAGAGACAACAGATAACCACACACACACATACACATACACACACACACAAGTAACAATTCGAAACTATGTTTAAGTATTCAACTAATGACAAAGATGACAAGGATACAGAAGATAACAGAATGTAGATTCAAGAGTTCTTTAAGTCTCTGTCCAAGGCAACAAACTAACAATCCATTCATCTAGCCCGGCAGACTTCTCAAACTTAAGAGATAATTTTAAATTCCTTAGGAAATACCTGATTAAAGCTTACTAAAACACCAGAAAAAAAATGAAATCAAATGGTTTTAACTGAATACTTATTCTCTTGATTCTTGAACCCTCTCATAACCCAACCACTTCCCATTATGATACCTAGTTTCCTTATAAAAAAGCTCCATTTTGACCCAAAGCAGATGGAAATTTACCTTTACTGATTATGTCTCCTGGGTCATTTATCCAATACGTCTTGCCTCTTGCTTCAGTATAAACTTCAGAAGTTCGAAGCTAAGCCAAAAACAAAACAGCTACAAGATGAAGGTTAGTAAGGATGAACCCACTCCTGGAAACATCTATGTCTCTGCCTTACAACTCTGAATTCCCTCACATCTTCCACTCAGCCTCGTATGTAAATGAACTCCCCTCCCTTTCCCTACTTGGAGGCAGAAAACAGGATACCTTGCTTTACTTTCAAACTTCTCAGAGGTAGGATGAGATACAGAATGGTTATTAAGTGCTCTGAATCTCAAGCAAAACATAACATACAAAAACATAATACAATACTGGTTTTAACATATTTACCATGTAATGTCCAAACAGCTTTATTCCACTACTAAGAATCAACTAAGGAACACATAAGACAGAAAGGACATAAACAGATGCATATACAAGTGTTAAAAGCCCAAGCAAAGCTAAATTCACCTTTGCGCCTCAAAAGGACCATTTTGATTACAGGTCAGAGTTTGCATCATCAAAATGAATCGAATTGTTCCAAGTAATACTGAAATAGCAGCTGAGGGTAAAATGAACTTTAGCCACTGGACTCTGACCATCATCAGAGGCAGTTATTAAAACACAGGTATGTTAACAGGGGAAAATAGCAGAAAATAAAGGTGGATGTAATGGTTTTAAAATATGCTCACAAAGTATTTGATACTACTCCATTCAAAAGGTAGGTCCTGCTTTTCCTCCCCTTAAGAGGAGCTAGACTTGCTTCTAACAGCATAAAGCAAAAATTTAAGTAGATCCTCCTGCCTCAGTCAAGCCTTCAGATAAATGCAGCCCAGTCAAAAGCTTGACTGAAACCTCATGAGAGATCCTGGGACAGAACTACACAGCTAAGTTGTCTCAAATTTCTGACCTACAGAAACTATGAGATAATAAGTGTTTGTTGTTTGAAGCCAGTAAGTGTAGGGCTAATTTGTTACACAGCGAGAAATAACTAATAGGGAGGGTATGTTGTAGTGCACTGTGTTATGAATCCCAAACTGCCATTATGGGAGGTCGAGGCAGATAGATCACTTAAGGTCAGGAGTTTAAGACCAGCCTGGCCAACATGGTAAAACCCCTTCTCTACTAAAAATACAAAATTTAGCCAGGTGCTGTGGCAGGCACCCGTAATCCCAGTTACTCAGGAGGCTGAGGCAGGAGAATCACCTGAACCCAGGAGGCAAAGGTTGCAGGGAGCCAAGATTGCGCCACTGCACTCCAGCCTGGGAGACAGAACGAGACTGTCTCGAAAAACAAAAAAACAAACAAAAAAATCATTAAAGGTCCCTCCAAAGTTCTGAAAACAAGGACTACCAGAAAGAAGCACACCAGTATTGTAGTAACTTCCCCTTCTAGTTTGAGCAAGCTAATAGGAATATAATGAGAGCCAGAAATATATGCCATTATGTAATTTAAAATTTTGTAGTAGCCATATTAAAAATGGTAAAAAAAAAAAGGTGAAACTAATTTTAAGAATATATTTTATTGAATCCAACACAGTTAAAATATTAGCATTTCAACATGTTGATTTTAAAACATACTCAATATTTTAAAAATCTCAACATAGTATCTTACATTCTTTTTTGTACTAATTCTTCTAAATCTAGTGTATAGTATTTTACATTGAGTGCATCCTTTTATTTATTCATTTTATTTATTTATTTATTTATTTATTTATTTATTTTTTGAGATAGGGTCTCACTGTGTCACTCAGGCCAGAGTACAGCAGCACGATCATCGCTCACTGTAGCCTTGACTTTCCAGGCTCAAATGATCCTCCCACCTCAGCTTCCCAAGTAGCTGGGACCACAAGCCTGTGTCACCATACCCAGTTAATTTTTTAATTTTTTGTAGAAATGGGGTCTCTCTATGTTGCCCAAGCTGGTCTCAAACTCTTGGGTTCAAGTGATCCTCCCACTTCGGCCTCCCAAAGTGCTGGAATTACAAGCGTGAGGTACCATGCCTAGCTTTTTTATTTTTTATTATAATTTCATATAAGAACAGAGATGCGGGTCTCACTTTGTTGCCCAAGCGATCCTCCCACCTCAGCCTCTCAAAGTGCTGGGATTACAGGCATGAGCCACTGCACCCGGCCTGAGAGTGCAGCTCTATAGCCACATGTGGCTACCGTATTACCATATTACACAGCAAGTCTAGAGGATTTCTTCTACAGCCTGTTACCCCTTCAGAAACATGAGTGTAGAGCCCAGGGAGGCAAAAGTAAAGAATGTTTTAGATAACTAAAGGATCCTTTTTATTGTCTTTACTGAGATATCTCATTTGAGCAGGTCCCAAGCTGGGAAAGGACAGCCTTCATGAAAGAAAAGAAAGAGGGAAAGGACAGTGCTTACTGTTAGAAAGAGGAACAACTACTTTGAAGAACTGAAAAGAAACTAATACTTCCTACAAAACATCAAAACCAATCATCAGAGTATAGAGAACATCATCTACCTTTTTACGTGATATTCCCCTCAGCATTCAGTCACCCATTCATCTCATACACAGGCTACATCCATTTGAAATGGAAAGATGCAGTTTGTTCCGAATAAGAAGGTTTGGAAGGAAATAAATGGGGAAAAACACTGAGTGAAAGAACATTTGCCTTTCTCCAAACACAAAAACCTTCCCCATTTAACACATTTGCCTCCTCTCCGCCGGCAATGTTATCTCCTAGGATCATAGCTTTCAAGAATAAACCAAACCCAGAGCCTGCCGGGAGACAGTGATCCAACTGATACGGTTTGGCTCTGTGTCCCCCACAAAATCTCATCTCAAATTGTAATCCCCACGTGTCAGAGGAGGGGCCTGGTGGGAGGTAACTGAATCATGGGGACAGACATCCCCCTTGATGTTCTCAGGATGAGTGAGTTCTCGAGTGATCGTTTAAAAGCATGTGGCACCTCCCCCTTCACACTCTCTCTCTCTCCTGCTCCACCATGGTTAAGATGTGCTTGCTTCCCCTTCTGCCATGATTGTAAGTTTCCTGAGGCCTCCCAGTCATGCCTCCTGTTAAGGCTTTGGAACTGTGAGTCAATTAAATCTCTTTTCTTCATAAATTACCCAGTCTCAGGTAGTTCTTTACAGCAGTGTGAGAACGGACTAATACACCAACAAGAAAATCTCTTCCAGTGCAACCAAGTCACCCTTTTCCTCCTCCTCCTCCTGCTTCTTGAGGAGCTAGATTCAGACGATTATGGAAAAAAGCCCAGCTGTGTGAGTCACTGCAGCCATCCCAAGGGGCCTGGGCAAAATCCAGAGGACAGCTGGAAACAGCTGTTGTGAGATCAACTGCAACTAGGAGGGAAGGAGGAAAAAGAGGATGAATTCATAGTTTATTACACATGATCCCATTCTGGCCTCAGCAAAGCTTGTTTTTATTTTCTCTCCCAAATGAAAAGTTTCTTCTCCCTTCTTACTAAAGATTCTTCTTCTAACAAAGAAAATAATAATTGATTCACCAATAAAAACCTCCTGAGATCATTATCCAATCTACTATGGGGGATACCATTCCCCTCACCCATATGTCTCCCACGGTACAGGATAAACAAGAATCCAACAGGTGAGGAAAGAATTATCTTAAAAAAAATATCTGTAAGGCTGGGCACGGTGGCTTATATCTGTAATCCCAGCACTTTGAGAGGCCAAGGTGGTTGGGTCACTTGAAGCCAGGAGTTCAAGACCAGCCTGGCCAACATGGCGAAACCCCATCTCTATTAAAATCAGCCAGGCATGGTGGCAAGTGCCTGTAATCCCAGCTACTCAGGAGGCTGAGGCATGAGAATCACCTGAGCCTGGTAGGTGGAGGTTGCAGTGAGCTGAGATTGTGCCACTACACTCCAGCCTAGGCAACAGAGCAAGAGCAAGACTCTGTCTCAAAAAAAAAAAAAAGAAAAAAAAAAGCTGTAAAGGCAACTGTAAAGGCAAGACACCTTTGACTTGAATAAAGCTCTTAAAAAGAGAAAAAAAAGTCACCAGGAAATATGAGGCTGCTGAGATCTAGCAGAGAAATAGCCCCAAGGAAAGAGAGGTTGCTCTATGGTTCCTTACACGATAATATTATAAATGCTTTGTTGATTAAGGAAGAAATGTCAGAAGAGTGTTTATTTGCACAGCTAGAGGGCAACCAGCCTTAGGATGTCTAATCCCCTTTCCTATCAGCCAAAAAGATGTAGATCTCCACACATCAATCCTGAGGTCCTGAAGAAAATGGTGACTGACACCACAAGTCCAGATACTGTGGTAAAATGAAGAGCAGGTACCTTTCCTAAGAAAGAACTTCTCAGAGTTTGATAGGTAAGGGAAGAATAGGGATTTACTGGCATTTGATACAAACTAATATTGATTTAATGGGCTCTGATAATATGAGACTTAGGAAACTAATAAGCATTCTCCTCTACCTGGTCTTAACACACCCAGACATCCACCCTTCAAAATCCCTGGGCTTACAGCTCAAATGGTTTTGATCAACACATATTCCTCAGTGGTCAGTCTTGGATTCTACAGTTCTTTCAGACATTCACACAATAGAAGCGGTCATACCTTAAAATTTACCAGCCAAACCATACATGAGAATAGAAGAACTGCTGCCTTCAGAAGTCTAGAGATATATTTAAAAGCCAACAAAATCTCCTCTAACTCTCTCAGCTGCCCACCTGCCATCAATAACACTGTTCCTAAAGTAAGGTACAAAGGTTCAAAATCCCTCTATGCATTCTCTGCTCCCTAGTGTGGCCCTGTCACTACAGAACTTCAATTATTTCTTCCACAAATATTTTTAAATACTGTATTTACATTCCATCTCATTTCAATATATATAAGACCTCTTGCAACTAATTGCCAAAGAGAGCCACAGGAGATCCTGTAAATAGTGGAAGGAACTGAGATGCGGAGGGAGTATAGAGGAAAGTCTGAGTCAGCTCCCAAGGCCAAAGGAACACTTCCCTTGGCCTCCCAGGCTTAACATTAAAATAACTGTCGGATGCAGTGGCTCACACCTATAATCCTAGCACTTTGGGAGGTTGAGGCAGGAAGATCGCTAGAGCCCAGGAGTTTGAATCAGCCTGGGCAACACAGTGCCTAGGCTATAGTGCCTCATGGCTACAAAAAATAAATAAAAAATTACCCAGACATGGTGGCACACCTGTAGTCCCAGCCACTTAGGAGGCTTAGGTGGGAGGACTGCTTGAGCCTGAGAAGTCAAGGCTGCAGTGAGCCGTGACCGAACCACCACACTCCAGACTGGGTGACAGAGTGCGACCCTGTCTCAAAAAAATAAAATAATGACATCTTTGTTAAAAAGATGTAAAAGTCAGAAAAAGTTTTTCAGTTGCCTTAGCTAACATTTTGCATCTCCCTCTTTTTCTCCTTTATGCTTCTCCTTTCCAAGTGTACAGCAAATCTAGAATTTTATACTAAATTCTGATACAATTTTATATTATATATAGTTTTATCTTTCCCACCAATACAATAGCAAGGTATGACCCTATACCATATTTTACACCATCAACTTACCTTATTTAATTTTGGCTGAGTTTGTATATCATCTAACCAACTCAATCAAAAGCCCTTACAGACCATCTCCTAGATCTTACATTTCCTGCACACACTACCTCACATAGAGAACATCCAATGATACTTCTTAATTAGGTTTTTTTTTTGAGACGGAGTTTCGCTCTTGTCGCCCAAGGTGGGATGCAATGGTGCGATCTCAGCTCACCGCAACCTCTGCCTCCCGTGTTCAAGCAATTCTCCTGCCTCAGCCTCCCGAGTAGCTGGGATTACAGGCATGCACCACCACGTCCAGCTAATTTTTGTATTTTTGGTAGAGACGGGGTTTCACCACGTTGACCAGACTGGTCTCGAACTCCTGACCTCAGGTGATCCACCCGCCTTAGCCTCCCAAAGTGCTGAGATTACAAGCATGAGCCACCGCGCCTGGCCAATTAGGTTATATTTCATATAAAATGAGTGCAAGAGTGAGATGGAGTGATTCAATCTAAAATGCACAAAGTGAGAAAGCAATCAAGGTGAGCCACCCTCCAGAAGACAGGAAGAAAAAAAGCATTTGATCAAATCTTATGAGATGACATCTGGAGCCTCTGCACCTCGTCACAACAGCCAAGTCTATCAGTAACATAGCTAAGTCGCCACAGCCACTTGTACTTTCATCCCCTTCTCCTTCAGTATTTCTGATGACCACAATAACTTCCTTTCCAATTAGCCACAGTGGCAGCCACTGCCATGATAATCAACAATGATTTTAATAAGTCTAGGCGTCTGTTTTCAAGGGCAACATGAGGAAGCCAACAGATGAGAATGTCCCAGGCCAGCTCTGGAGTATCCATGAGGTTGAAAGGGTAAAAAGGGGTCTGTGAAAGGAGATGAACATGAGCTAAAAGGTCAGAATGTATTCAACTCAAATGTGCTCATGGTAGTAACCATGGGATTTTTTTACTTTTTTTTCTCCAACCAAGACAACAAGAAAAAATTAATAATAATTATGGTCTAATGGCAACGTACAAAATGAATCTTAAAAAATAAGTGATGACCTGTAATCCCAGCACTTTGGGAGGCCAAGGCAGGAGGACTGCTTGAGGCCGAGAGTTCAAGACCAGCCTGGGTAACATGGCAAGTCCCTGTCTCTACAAAAAAAAAAAAAAAAAAAAATTTAGAACTAGCCAGGCATAGTGGCATACCTGTTGTCATAGCTACTCAGGAGGCTGAAGTGGGAGGATCGCTGGGGCCCAAGAGTTGGAGGTTAAAATGAACTGTGATAACACCACTGCAATACAGCCTGGCAACAGAGCAAGACTCTGTCTCTAAAAAAACATAAAAATAAGTGATGAAAATAATTGACCATTATACTTTAGAGGGACTTCTCATATAAGAATTTTGGTTAGGAGATGAAAGATATGTAGACTAAAAGCTACAAAACGTTGATCAAAGAAATTGAAAACATAAACAGAAAGATAGCCCATGTTCATGGGGGAAAAAAGAGGATTTTGGTTAAGCACACACACTGTTGCATAGGTACTACTGTCCATGCTTAGCAGACAGAGGCAGACAGGGAAGAAGTTACAAATCCTAGCTCGAGGTTTCACAGACGACATGTATCCAAAGACAGAAACTAGATTTCTTGAAGGCATAATTTACAGGGGGAACTTTTGTCTTAGACATGAAATATAAAACATACAGGAATGCATCATTAGCTTTACATATTTAACATCCAAATCAAGAAATATAAAAGTTATATATATATATATATATATATTTTTTTTTTTTGAGATGGAGTCTCACTCTTGTTGCCCTGGCTGGAGTACAGTGGCACGATCTCAGCTCACTGTTACCTCCGCCTCCCAGGTTCAAGTGATTCTCCTGCCTCAGCCTCCCGAATAGCTAGGATTACGGACACCCGCCACTACACCTGGCTAATTTTTGTATTTTCAGTAGAGACAGGGTTTCGCCATGTTGGCCAGGCTGGTCTCAAACTCCTGATCTCAGGTGATCCACCAACCTCGGCCTCCTAAAGTGCTGGAATTACAAGCATGAGCCACCGTGCCTGGCCCAAAAGTTGTATTTCTTATAACAATGCTAAAACACACTATGTTTAAACATAAAGTTTCAGAGCTCAGAGGGATTGCTAGACAATAGATCAATAGCAATTCCAACACACACTGTATCCAAGGAGTTCAAGGCACTTGGCTTTAAATACTACATATGTGCAACATGAATAAGACTTTGAAGCTTTAACTTTTGCACTTCATGATTGGTGCTAATTAACAGCCTTTGTATTACACTTGACTTTATTCTAAGAAAAAGAAAAAAATGGAAGGAAATCAGGGAGGGATGGAATGAAGAAAGAAAAAAAAAGAGAGACGAAGGGTGGGAAGGTGAATGAACAAGGTACCCGGGAATGTTTTTTTATCTCCTGTGATAGGAAAAAAGCATTCCACCGGAGTTCTCAGTATCTACCTCCCATCTGTTTTCCTTCGTTTTTCCTCTATCCTCTCGGGGCTCTTTTTTGTTTGTTCATTTGTTCACAGTCCTGATTCTTTCTGCTTTTGCCTGCCTCTTGACATCTTTCCCTTAACCTGTCTCCAACTCCCTATCTCCACATAACACAAAAGTTAAATCCTACTCAAAAGCAAAGAAGAAATTTTAGAAATGAAAGTTCTTTACACTGTTACAGATCATCTTGATCTAACCCTTTCAGTTTAGGAAACTGAGGTTCTGACAGATTATATGATTTGCACAAAGTCACAAAACTAATAAATGATAGCATCAAAACTAAACCCAAGGTTTTCCCATTAAAGTACTAAAGGAAAGCACAGAAAGCTATTTTTAAACAGAGTAAAGAAGGTCCTTCTCAGAAAGAAGATCCAAGAGTTTTAAAATAAACACTTTATATATTTAATTACATTCAAATGTTTTTCTCTGGCCCCAAAACATACACACACACACACACACACACACACACACACACACACACACACACACACTATATGTATATACATGTACACATACATGTATACACCACAAACAAATCCAAAAGACAAGTGACAAGCTGAATGGGAAACTGCAACATGAATGACAAACACTACTTTCATTAATTTATAAAAAGTTCCTACATATCAATAAGAAAAAAACAATTCTTTTGAACCTGAGTTTATGACAAAAGAAATATAAATGATTTGTAGAAATGTTTTTTTAAAAGATTCCCTTAAACTAAAAATATACAAATTAGGCCAGGCACAGGGGCTCATGCCTGTAATCCTAGTACTTTGAGAAGTTGAGGTGGGGGATCACTTAAGGCCAGGAGCTTGAGACCAGCCTGGGCAACATAGCAAGACCCTGTTTCTACAAAAAATAATTTAAAAATTAGCCAGGCATAGTAGTGCATGCCTTAGTCCTAGCTACTCAGGAGGTCCATGCAGGAGGATGGCTTGAGTCCAGGAATTCAAGGTTACAGTAAGTTATTACCATACCACTGCATTCCAGCCTGGACGACAGGGCAAGATCCTGTCTTAAGAAAAGAAAAACAGGCCGGGCCAGACGTGGTGGCTCACGCCTGTAATCCCAGCACTTTGAGAGGCCAAGGCGGGCGGATCACTTGAGGTCAAGAGTTCGAGACCAGCCTGGCCAACATGGTGAAACCCCGTCTCTACTAAAAATACAAAAATTAGCCAGGCGTGGTGGCAGGCGCCTATAATCCCAGCTACTTGGGAGGCTGAGGCAGGAGAATTGCTTGAACCTGGGAGGCGGAGGCTGCAGTGAGCCGAGATTGTGCCACTGCACTCCAGCCTGGATGACAAGAGTGAGACTCTGCCTCAAAAACAGAAGAAAAAAGAAAACAACAACAACAACAACAAACAAATTAAAAAGCCAAGATACCATTTTTCACTTCGGCTTGTGAAAAATGAAAGTACGGTAACATAATAGAAAAATGTCCCTCTGATACTCAGCAATACCTATGAAAAGTTAAAATGTGCAGACCCTTAGAAACACAATTCCACTTCTCAGAATCCGTCTTCTTGTGCTTATCTTATGCACACAGCAACATACATACAAGCAGCATTGTTTCAAATAGCAAAAGACTGGAAACGACCTAAATGTCGAGCAATAGGACATGTTTAAACAAATCATGATTTTAAAAAAAACAAACAAAAAAACTTACCGTGGGATACTATGTGGTCATTTAAAAGAATTAGATTGATTGGCAAAACAAACGAAATGTTCTCTAAGGTGTTTTGTTCAGTGAAAAATAATGAAGATTCCTTTGGTATACAAACGGGGTATATATCTATAAACATTTATGTGCACAGAAGTTCTCCAGAACATAAAAGAAACTACTAATGCTTCTATCACACCAATACTCCAGAAAGAACTTCAGGACTCTTCTAGTTCTTGAGACGGAGTCTCACTCTGTCACCCAAGCTCAAGTGCAATGGCACGATCTCAGCTCACAGCAACCTCTGCCTCCCAGGTTCAAGTGATCCCCCTGCTTCAGCTTCCTGAGTAGCTGGGACTACAGGCATGTGCCACTACACCCAGCTAATTTTTTTGTATGTTTGTACAGATGGGGGTTTCGCCATGTGGGCCAGGCTGGTCTCAAACTTCTGACCTCAGATGATCCCCCCACCTTGGCCTCCCAAAGTGCTGGGATTATAGGCATGAGCCACCACGCCCAGCCCGGACTCTTCCAGTTCTAAGCAGCTCCTACCTTAGTAAGTTTTTCCAATCGCTAACTTGCAATTACTTTCTTCAAAAGACCTTCCTTTCTTCAAAAGACACTCCTTGAACTCTTATCCCCTATACAATGAAGATCTCTGTTCCTTCTCAAACTTCAACTTTGTCTTCTGACCAGCTTATCAACTGGGCCTGCTGGTAACCCCTTCTCTGTTCCTACAAGTTGGAATTTTCCTTCACCCTTTTCTTCTTTCACATCCTGATATTAACTCATTCTTCCCATAAACATACTTTGCAGCCTTCCAAAGCCTGAAGGCCATTACTAGGCGTTGGCATTCTTTTTGCTCCTCATTCATTCTTTTATTGATTCATTTCATTCATTATTCAGCAAACATTTATTGAGTGACAACTGTGTACCATGTATTGTAATAATTCAAAAAGAAAAACCAAACACCTGGTCCCTATCTTAAGAAACTTGCAGCCTAGGACAAATTTTCAAAATTAAACTTCTTAGCGTGGCATAAAAAAGGGGGAAAAAATTAGATGTAGGGAAGCAACCTTCAAATGTCCAGCTACACATACCAAGCTGACAGTACTGGGTACCTCTAGGAAAAGAACAGATATTGGAGGTGGTGGTCAAAGTGGTCACTGGCCTTATACGTTTGAGTTTTTGGCTTTTTGGTAAGAATATACTTGCATATTAATTAATTCACAGTTAAAAATAAACTTTAATCAGAACAAGGATAACTAAGGGGGAAAAAACAAAAATAAACTTTAAGAAAGAGGTGACATCTAATTAATTTGATACTCCTAATGACTATCTAGCATGGTGCCTTGGCACATAAATGGAGCTCCATAAATGGTCACTAAGTGGAAGAATAAATGGATGTGCAGAGTTCTACAAAGCAGAGTAGAAGGGGAGAGAAACAGTCACATTCAACAACTGTTGCCTTTACTCAACAACTGTTCTTTTAAAGTTAATGCAGGGTTCTCAACCTCAGCATTACTGACATTTTGGGCCAGATAATTCTTCATTGTGGGAGACTCTCTTGTGCACTTTAGGATGTTAAAGTAACATCTCTGGCTTCCAACCCCTAGATGCCAGTAAGACCTCCACAATTATAAAACTCAAAAATGTCTCCAGACGTTGCCAATGTCAACTGAGGGGACAAAATCACCCCCAGTTGAGAGTCACTGAGTTAACCCACTTATACATCATTCTTTCCACTTCCCCAACCTCCATGACTTTCTCCCAATTTGCCCAGAGTTTCAATGCTTAGGCCTAGATCGTTTCAACATTCAAGTTGACAACACTTTCAAAACTGAGACTCCAAGTTCTTCAACCTACTTATTTCCAGGGGGCACTACCTACACCAAACTCATCCATTGGATCCTTACACATCATTGCTACCCAAAACTCTTCTAACGTCAAGATCTCAAACTCGTAGGAAAAGCTCCTGCTGTCCTTTGTTTTCTCCCACGCCCTTATTCTACCTGAACCCATTCATCTCAGTTTATTGACACTTGGCACTAGGTAACGTGCACTCAGCTACACTCATGGGCTTCCAAGTACTGTCTGATAGTTAAGAAACAGCTGGGCGAGGTGGTTCACGCCTATAACCCCAGCACTTTGGGAGGCCGAGGTGGGTAGATCACCTGAGGTCAGGAGTTTGAGATCAGCCTGGCCAACACAGTGAAACCCCATCTCTACTAAAAACATAAAAATTGGCCAGGCATGGTGGCAAGTGCCTGTAATCCCAGCTACTTGGGAGGCTGAGGCAGGAGAATCATTTGAACCCAGGTGGTGGAGGTTGCAGTGAGCCAAGATCACACCATTGTACTCCAGCCTGGGCGACAAGAGTGAAACTCTGTCTCAAAAAAAAAAAAGTTAAACCATCAGGACCAACTCAATCCCAGCTGGCACTTACTGAGACTGAGCAACCCTTTCATCCCACTTCTTGATGAATCCTTATTACATAGGAACAGCAGCTACTTCTAAAACTTCTCACTCTCCTCGAAGTGTCAACACCACCACCTCTGCCTGCAGACTCCCATTCTCTGAGGAAAGGTTGAGTTCCTCTAACATAAGCTCATTCAACTTCCCTTCTCATAACCTCATACACATTAGATGCTCAATAAATACGTGTTAAATTTAGGAAGAAAACGCATCCTGGCTTAATACTGGCTGTATTCAAAAGAATGATGTTTACGGGGAAAAACAGCTCTCTCTGAATTTTACTCTAATTCAAGATTTTATTCTACAATACTAAGCAACCTTAAGGAAAGTCAACATGCCTCCCTAGTTTCTCAAGGCTACCACCACCAATCAGTGGCATACACTGCTGCTGCAAAGGAATCCTCTGGATAATCGTGAAAGCACACTAAGAGTCTAGAAGGAAGCATAAAATATAAACTCCAATGATAAATGACCATACTGCAAAAACGTGCTGCCCATAAATGTGAACGATTCTTAATTCTGCAATTCAGTGAGATGCAAAGAAGTGTCTAAACAAAATGACAGAACACTGACGGCAATGCCACATGCTAAATACCCATCACTTGGCACTTTGTGAGGACTGACAAATATTCTGAGGGCAAAAATTGCTCTGCAACAGAAGATAAAAGCTTTAAATAATTAATTGGCATAGGCAATTGTATAACAGCTTCAGAATGAAGTGTCCCATTTTCACCTAACCCTAGTGCCTTCCACAGGTACTAGTTCGTCGTCAGAAGAGATAGGCAGCACATGTGTTCCACTGAAAAAATCTCTAGGTCCCCACTGAATCTAAGGCATACCACTTTCACCAGCTTTTGTCTCATGTGGTCATTACAGAATAAGAGGTTTGGCAAAAGCTTTAGCAAAGTAGAGCCAATCGTTTCTCATAACGTGTTCTAAACTTTTTTCTTGACCTTTAGCTTATGGTAGCTTAGACAAGTATCTTAAAAGCATTTCTAGTCAGCCATTTTTGGTAACTTGTGAGCAAAATTATTTTTAGCTGAAAAAGTTTATTTCAATCCCTCTCTCATAACTCAGAAGCATCTGACCAGGTTTAGTTCAAGCTTTCCAGAATAATTTGTCTTTGAGTGGATTCAAAGCATAAAACATTTCAGCTACAAAAGAGAAATTCTCTCCTTAATTAACAGAACGAGCAATCAAAATGTGCAAATATATAGGGTATGTGAATAAAATATCACCTGCCTACCTACTGCCAGCCCTGGTATACTGTAGAAATTAAGCACTTAAATGTTGATAAAAATTTTTGAAAGCCTCTAATGGACAAAACAACATTGTTACAGCATTCCATGCTATGAAGAGCAAAATGCATGCCTGCATGGTAGAAAGTGCTTCATGTAAATTCAAATATAATCAAACAGAACATAAGATTCAAGTTGTGTCCATGCGGCACTCAACCTGTGGTTCCAAATAGAGGGAAAGTTTCTTGAAGGATGCAGACAGATGAGAAAAAGAAAATAAGATAGTCTGCTGGAAGTCAGTACAACTACATATGTACAACATAACCAAATACAGATTTTCTTTGTTCTTTTTTGCTTTCTCTTTTTTTCCTTAATGAACAAAGACTATATTCCTCCATCTACCCTTATAAGGATATGTTTCTGAAGTGGTAGGAGAATCTAATCACCAGTGCCCAGCCAGCTTGGTGAACAATGGTCCTACATGATTGCAAGAGAACAGCAGTGTGCGGATGAACTAACTACCAACGACACTTTGGGCAAATCCCTTGCTCGCATGCCCTCCACCCCAACCTCACTGACTCACTTGCAGTTCCTCTCATACCTTGCCCTTGTACATACTGTTTCTTTTGTCTAGAATGACCTGCCCTGCTTATCCACTCAATACGCAGCAACAGCTTCTGCAGAATGTTCTCCAAATGCCCATCCCACCCCAGCCAGATAAGAATCCCTCAATTCCTCCATTATGCTCCCATAGAAGCACTACTCATCCTGGCTTGGTACAGACACTCCTCTATCCACCACCAAGTTAGGTTCTGTAATGAAAGGCTGCTCCTAAGTCCATTTGTTCATAAAATTCCAAGGTGAAAAAAATCCAAGTAACCCATGGGTGCATGTCTAGCTAGGGGACATTTCTTAAGAACAAGGGAGAGGCTTATGGTAGTGATTCTCACTCATTTTGCTTCTTCTCAATCCACTTTATGATTTGCACTTGACCCTTTATAATTGTATTGTTGAATGATTCATCTTGTATACACATTCACCATTTCTAATGTACTTTCCATTTTTAATCATCTCTTATCTACCCCTCCATATCAGCACTTTCAGTAAATAAAAAATGTAAGAAAACATAGCTAATATACAAACATATAAATATATATAATATAAATACATAATAAGTAAATATAAGTACTGGAATATCCTACATAGAATAAACAATGTCATACACAAAATCAAAATGACAAAATGACCATGCGCCACCACACAAGTACTATTTTTTATTTGTGGTAAGCAGAATTGGCATACTTTTTCTCCAACACACAACTTGACTCATTTCTATGAAAATTAGCAAGTTTAAGGACCATAAACCCTATGTTTACACAGTACCTATCCCTGTGTAATTTTAATACATTATTTTATTTTTAAAACAAGTAATACATGCATGTAATACAAAATTCAAAAGGAACAAAAGGTATACAATTAACAAATTTTGTTGGTATGATTTTTTTATATACAATAAAAATTAAGTCTTTACCTATACCCTTATTCCTCTGTCTCTCAATGCTCCTCCGAGGAGGCAACCGCTGGGGAGTCTTGTGTTTCCTGGCAGAGTCTATGCACACACGGATACTTTTTTACTTTATACAAATAACAGCAAACTATACACTCTTCTGTACTTTGATTTTCACAATTGATATATTTAAAGAGTGTTCTATGTTCATACAGAGCTGCCTAATTAATGGCTACATGATATTCCACTGTATGAATGTACCTTTTTTTTTCTCATCAAGAATGTACCTTATTTTATTTAGCAGATTTCCTGTCAACGAGCATTTTTGTTTCTTCAACCTTCTGCTACTTCAAATAATGCTATAATGTATATTCTTATACGCAGATGCAAGAGCATCTGTAGGATAAATTCCTGGAAGTGGAACTGTTGAGTCAAAGAATACGTGCATTTTACATTTTAATAGACATTGATAAATACTTCTTCATGGAAGTTATGTGACTTTTCACCACCACAGCAATATGAGTTCCTATTTCTTTACTCACACCCTTATCAAACCATTGTGTTATCAAATTTTTATTCTAATTTTATAGTTGTTCCATAAACCTTCCCCAAAACTCAAGTTTTATAAGAACATTCCATTAACTCTGTAACTAACCCCAGCATCTAGCAATGTTTAACATGTGGTAAACATTCAAATTTTGTTCAATCAAATTTTGTCTCCAAGCAAAAGAAGGGGGAGGGCTGTTACACAATAAGAGAGGATTACATTAAATATAAATAACCAAAGTGTTTAAAATGTTAGCACTTTTTCCCTTTTAGAGAAAAAGGAAGAGAGATTAGGAAGAAAGGATGGATGAATGGATTGATTCTGATCTAAAATGGTTTCTCCTAGAGGTTTAACAAAAAATAGGGGCCAAGAGCAGTGGCTCATGCTTGTAATCCCAGCACTTTGGGAGCCCGAAGTAGGTGGATCACTTGAGGCCAGGAGTTTAAGACCAGCCTGGCCAACACAGTGAAACCCCACCTCTACTAAAAACAGAAAAAATTAACTGGGCGTGGTGGCACACAACTGCAATCCCAGCTACTCGGGAGGCTGAGGCATAAGAATCACTTGAACCTGGGAGGGGGAGGTTGCAGTGAGATTGCACCACTGCACTCCAGCCTGGGCCACAGAATGAGACACTGTCTCAAAGAAAAAAGAAAAAAAAAGGAAAGATTCATACCTGTCTGAAATAGTTAAGTATTGTCCTACCTTAAAGTAAAATATACAATCTATCTTCAAAACACCAAGAAAGCTGAAGGGCCTCCCAAAGGAAAGAAGGAAGATTCCTTCTCTGAAACTGCCATAGGATACTGAAACTTCTCACATCAATATTCTTTCTACACAGCTTCAAAAAAAACTGACTCTCGTCATATATTTTACAGTCACACAGTTAATATCTCATGCATTTGCTTCTGTATGGTACCCAGCATAGTTAATACTAGAAGTCTTTCAGTGAACACAATAAATACTGAACTCTGCAGCCCTCCAGTCATCATGTGTTTGCCATGGTCTCTGGCGCCCGTGCTTTGTGCTATAACAACCACCATAACAACAGATAACACAAAAAACTGTAATGACTCATTTAGTACAAGCCTCATTTATTATCTCCATTTTACAAATAAAAAACTGAAGCACAGAGGGGCTAAGTAACTTGCCTAAAGGACACACAGCTAAGTAAGATTAGAGACAGAATTTCTGGTACCAGAAAGGGCCTTCCTTTTTTTTGAGACAGGGTTTCGCTCTGTTGCCCAGCCTGGAGTACAGTGGTGCAATCATGGCTCACTGCAGCATCTGCCTCCTGGGCTCAAGAGGTCCTCCCACCTCAGCCTACCGAGTAGCTGGGACTACAGGCACACACCACCATGCCCATCTAAGTTTCGTTTTTTTTGTTTTTTGTTTTTTTGTAAAGGCGGGGTTTCACCATGTTGCCCAGGCTAGTCTCAAATTCCTGGGCTCAAGTGACCCACCCGCCTTGGCCTCCCAAAGTGCTGGGATTACAGGCATGAGCCACTGTGCCCAGACAGAAAGGGCCCTCTTAACCAAATATTTTAATACAGTGTGATAACTGCTCAGACAGAGGTATTCACAGAGTATCTATTACCACAGAGCCACCTGCCACTACACTTTCACATATATTCTGTGACTATTTCCATCCAAGCAGTGTATTAAAATTATCTATGTACATATCCTCTGCAAATTTAAGTCACTGCGCAACTGAGTTTTAGGTTACCAGGTGGAATAAGAAAATACCATTTCCACTCCTCGGGTTGGCACTTCACCTTTCCTATGCTGGTACTTCTTCCGCTCCTGTGTGCCACCATTTCCTAAAACCCATCTCTTCTAAGGTAAAATCTACATCTTAGTGTGTGCTGCTGCCCTAGAGATGCTGGCCAGACCTCTAAATTGCCTGGGTACCTTCTCGGAGTCCTGAAACACTACTGAGACCCACATCATTCCTGCTGGGTAGAATGCAGGCAGTATAGTTCCCACCTATCAGCAGCCACCAGCCCAGATCGATGGCTCTTATCAGGGACATGGAGTAACCTGAGCCCCTGCCAACCCATCTCTCGACTGCTAGGACAGGCGCTTTCTGCTATCAGGTTGCACAAATGCCTGGAAACTTTACACCGGGTGTGAAGGAAAAAGCAACAGGGGAAACAACACAGCATCTGGTGCCCTGCCGGCTTCCATTCACTACTTGGGAAAGGAACACCTTCCTCTGTGACTCGGGCCACAGAGACTGCGCGGGCCTAATTCACCTACTGCAGAGCCTTGGGACCACAAAGACTGCACGGTGAGATTAGAACTGAGTAGAGGTCGACATTCACCTAGAGAGTGAGACACAACCCCACTGGCCTCATTCTCATTCTCTAAACAGCTAGAATACTACCTCTTCTATAATATTCTCACGGAGAAAAAGGGCTATTGCAAAAGCCAACTCCGAAAGGCACATTTTATTTCATATCTTTAAATGTGGAAGTCTATAAAGATTAACTGTGCTAGAGTCAAGCCTAAGTTTGATATCATTAACTCCACATCTGAATCAGAATCCAATTACTGTTCAGTACACACACACACACACACACACACACACACACACACACACACACACGTGTGTTTATATTCTCTATTTGTTGAGCCAAATCTACTTACTTCCCATCAAGTCTCAGTTACGGAGAGGCCATACCCTAGGGAAGAAGAGCATTCACTCAATCCTGGGGCTTTCCACAGACAGAGGGGTTAAGGGTAGCCAGTGGCAATTATGGCTGCTGAGATGGAACACCTATTAGAAACTAAACCTTCCTTTCTCACAATTCAACACAAAACTTAGTTCACTGAACAGCATCCTGACAGCAGTGACACTCAATCAGGATAAACCTAGGCATCTGGGAAACATCTGGTATACAAGATGTCATCATGAATAAAACTCACACTGCAGTTAGATTCCATGTGCAATGACTCATGGCAGATCCTGAGTATAATTACTAACTCAATGACATATACGATAGCTGACCCACAATGTGCCCCACCAGTGCAAAAAAGACCAGGGGCAGCTGACTGGGGCACATGGAGAGACGAGGATACCTATCTTTCACTCAGACATCTCTAAAAGGTAGCAACATCAGGTATCTGCAGGGTATTCACGTGAAAAAACAAGAGATGTAGATTAGGTCTCCAATCCTGGGATTTCATGATTCCATTAAAACACAGAATCATATTATTTGAGGTCCTGTACTAATCAGTCATCTTTACAAGGGACATTTGGACATGGTTCTCTCAGTAGACCAGAATCTTAAGTCCAGAAAGCTAATAAATAGAAAAAAATATATATACATATATAAACTGATACGAAATAATTTCCAAATAGAAAAGCAAAGCAAAGTGCAGAATAGTACGCATACTGTCAATGGAGTTTTTAAAAGAAATATTACGTAGGCACTGTCTCTAGAAGGACACCCAGATAACTAACAATACTAGTTACTTCCAAAAAGATAAAATAGGCAGCTAGGAGAGGGAGAGATTTTTGACTCTTCTACATTTTGCATATTTTGAATCATTAACCATGTGAATATATATGCATTAAGAAAATGTAAAAGGAAGAAGAAAATACTCCATACAAGAAACTGTCAGAAAAAAATCACACCAAGAAATAAAAAGACTAAGAAATGAAAGATTCTACTGAGCCTTAAAGACAAAGTCTGAGTTTATTGTTTGTTGTCACATTCTCTCTCTGAGCCTGAGATACACTGTCTATAAAAATGAGTATACTGACTATTTTCCATGACTAAAGCAGAGGGCTGGTACAGATAATTTCTAGATGCCTTCAGCTCTGATGATTTTATACTACCCACCATTATCAATCCACTGATTGATCTGTTGTTGATCTAAATTAGAGATGGAATAACTTTGAGATGAAAAAAAGCCAAAAAACAACGACAAACTATCATGCATACCACAACTGTCATCCCAGTTCTACATGAATCAGCTGTCAGGTAACAGGTAAAATGTTTTCAATATTAAATATACGGCATGCCAAACCAATGAAATTCCTTTTGCTCCATTCCTCATCAGTCATACCCTTTCAGTCTTAAGGGCCATGAAAAGGCACTGGATAAAGAGCCACAAGATCTGGGTAAAAGCATCAGCTTTGCCACTTCCTAGTCATGAGGCTTAGAGAGGTATATTTTCAGCTGAAACATGGGAAGAATCATCACCTATCTTTCAGGGTTGTTGAAGAGAATAAATAAGGGCCTGCACGAAAGCATTTTATAAACTGTAAAACATAACACGGAAGCTGGGTGCAGCTGCTTGGAAGGCTGAGGTGGCAGAATCGCTTGAGGAGTTCAAGGCTGCAGTGAGCTATGATCCCACCACTGCACTCCAGCCTGAGTGATGCACTCCAGCCTGAGTGACTAAGAATATCTCTTAAAAATAATAATAACATAAATGTAATTGTTGAGTATTACGAGCAATTTTAGTCACCATGCTTCAAATCTGGAGGGTGACTATAGAAAAAGCAACACAAATTATTAAGATTTAAAAAAATAGATTGTATAAGGGCTAATATATCTTTTTCAACAAACATTTATCAGTTCTTTTTTTTGTTTGTTTTTTTGAGACAGAGTCTCACTCTGTCACCCGGGCTGGAGTGCAGTGGCATGATCTCGGCTCACTGCAACCTCCGCCTCCCAAATTCAAGCGATTCTCCTACCTCAACCACCCAAGTAGCTGGGATTACAGGTGTCTGCCACTACGCCCAGCAAATTTTTTTTATTTTTAGTAGAGATGGGGTTTCAACCTGTTGGCCAGGCTGATCTCAAACTCCTGACCTCGTGATTCGCCCGCCTCGGCTTCCCAAAATGCTGGGATTACAGGTGTGAGCCACTGAGCCCGGACTACTCAGTTCTTATTATATTATATCCTGGGCACAAGGCTACAAAAGTTAACAGATTTTTCCTTAGCTGGGCATGGTGGCACATGCCTATGGTCTCACCTACTTGGGAGGCTGAAGCAGAGGACTGCTTGAGCCCAGGAGTTCAAGGTTGCAGTGAGCTATGATTTCGCCACTGCACTCCAGCCTGGGTGACAGAGTGAGACCCTCTAAAAGAAAAAGATTGTTCCTGCCTTTAAGAAAGAATTCAAAAAGCACTTGGGGACAAGAATAAGAAAATAGGACTGAGTAATAATAATAAAAATGGCTATTACATAATAGAATACCTACTACGTGTCAGGCCCTGAACTAAGCACATTACATACAGTATCGCTTTTTAATTCTTACACTAATCCTATAACACATTTTACAAAGAAAGCTGAGGCTTAGATAAGTTAAGTCACTTAACCAAGATCCCACAGCTGTGAAGTGGAAATGCTGGTACACCACCTAAGGTTTGTCTGTCTGCAAGGCCATTCTATTTTTTTATAATCTCAGAGTGGTAAAACCTTCACTAAGCATCACACAAACACACACACACACACACACACAGAGAGAGAGAGAGAGAGAGAGACCACTAATGAAAACTTTAATAGACCTTTTTACATTTGAAAAAGTAGCCTCTGATATAGGAAATGGAGAAAAGCAAGGAGCAAAAAATACAGAGAGTATGCTAATATTTGTGTCAAAAAGAAAGGAGGGGGGATAACAGACAAATTAGTAACAGTGGTTACTTGTTTGGTAAAGGGGATAGGGACACATAGGAAGCAGAAATGAAAAGGAGACATTTCATTACATATGTATTTATGAATTTAGAGTTAGGAATTAACTTACCGGTAGGGAATCTGGGCGTAAATCCTGGTTTGGAAAACGCTACACAATAGTTCAGCATCACAACGTCTGCTTATGAAAAGTGTAGTGTGATAGGTTTTTTTTTTAATGTGTTTAATTCTAATGTCCAAAGTTATTTAACTTTTTTTGGTGGGGGGCTGGGGCATGGGCAGGATGATACCTATTATCATTTCTTTTTTTTTTTTTTATTGAGACAGAGTCTCACTCTGTCGCCCAGGCTGGAGTGCAGTGGCGCAATCGCGGCTCACTGCAAGCTCCGCCTCCTGGGTTCACGCCATTCTCCTGCCTCAGCCTCTCCGAGTAGCTGGGACTACAGGCACCCGCCACCACGCCCAGCTAATTTTTTGTATTTTTAGTAGAGACGGGGTTTCACCGTGGTCTCGATCTCCTGACCTCGTGATCCGCCCGCCTCAGCCTCCCAAAGTGCTGGGATTACAAGCGTGAGCCACCGCGCCCGGCCACCTGTTATCATTTCTTAAAGAGCAATCAATACAATACAGCTTGGGATACTAGAATTAAATAATTTCCTAACTTAAAACAGAATGCTGAATGAGTCAAAATTTTTAGGTTTCTTTAAGCTCGGGGATACCAAAGTATTTACTACTTGCTTCTAACACTGCAAAAAATAACCCATAGTAAAGCTAAAATCCAAAAGGGGTAAATGATACCTACACCAAACTCAAGAAAGTCAAATAAGGGATTCTTAAAATAAGCTTCTCATTATTGAAAAAAAGCAAAGCCTACAGAGTAACACTTATTTCACACCACTCCTAGAGAAAGAAACGCAGAGTAAGCATAAAAGAAAATTGCGCATGCACACACAGATACAGGTTATCTATTAATCATAGCATTTTTATACAGCTGACAAAAATCACTAGAAGTCCCTGATAAGCGCCTCTCTGAAGGGCTACTACATGCACTTAACACACTTTAATGCTTACGTATGAAGGTAGGAAATGCCAAAGTTAACCAACTGATCTCCAACACTGTAAAACACAGCCAGCTCAGAGCTAAAATGCTGCTGCAAAAAGATCTATTCAGTATCATGACAAGCAGCTAAAGACTTTTAACAAAGCAGAGGGACAGAAGATGTCTATAATGAGTAATGAACAGCACCTGGGAATGGAGAGGCGCTAGCTAACAGAAAAATTAGTTTCTAAACCCAAATACAGACCTTTTGAGTATGACCAGCATTACCTCAAAGTCTTGGATGATATCAAAATTTGCCAATTTATTATCAGCTTAATAAGAGTCATGTATGAAACTATGACTTCTAGTTCAAATATAACACAAAACATAGTAAAATCTTATGTAAGTATGTAACTAATGCAGACATATATGAAACGGACTGCTTAAGCAATAGCTGAATAGCAGTACTCTGCATTCTTTTAAACAAGGTGTGCATAGCATAAGACCAGGGTCAGACTTTCAGGACAAGTACTACCAACTCCCTGTAAGCTTTGCCAAAGGGGAAACTTCCTGAAGTTCCAACAAAGTCTTCAAACCCACTGTGCCAGCCACTAACAGTAACCATGTTCCTGGAAGCTTGTATATGAGAAGCAAACCAATGAGTTAAGCTTTGTGGATGTTGGGAGCCACCACAAAACATCTTTCAATTTTGCCAGTTTTCACTTTGAAATCACACAATCCTATCTTATCCCCTAGAAACTAAGAAACAGCAGGTGAAAGCTGTCAAAGCCACATATTCAGACTAATTAGGGGACAAGCCAGTCTGATTAGGGGATAGCGACCTCATTTGCAGATGCTTTTGCAGATGAAGGAGAAGCTGAATATGGAGAAATTTAATCGGGGCAGGGGGCTAAAAAAAGATCTACAATTCCTGCCTTTTACCCGAAATTATTACTTACCCTCCCAAGAATTTTTGTGGACCACTGAACTGAAGAAGGAAAAGAAAGAAAAAGGGAGAAAACAAACTTTAGGCTGTAAGTGTGACTGTATAAAAATCCCTGAGAGGATGAATTATGAAACTAAACTCCATGCAACAGGGCTAACTATGTAGCTGCTTTTCCACTTGCCTAATGGCCCAAGACAAATAGAGCAGGGCCATCCAGGAGTCCCAACAACTTCCAGGAAAATGGAACCAACGTCCTCCTGTCTCAGAACAAGCCACATACCCCCTGAAAGTAACCCCTAAGTGAAATCCATATAGATCTGCTTTGAAAATCACTCTGGCTGGCAACAATTAAGGCCCACTCCTTCAAACAATTCCAATTTGTATGGGAAAAAGCTTCTTAAAAGAAAAAAAAAAGCAATTGAAAGAAATTTCTATGAGCCTCTGCCCAAAAGTATTCCAACTCAAGCAACTGCTGCAGGCCACATTCAGACACCCCCAGTCTCCCCAGGCCCTGTCTGTAGTTCCTCTAGTTTTACTCACATAGCTTCTGCCTCCACCCCAATCCCCAGAGCTAGGAGAGTCCCACGGCCACACCACCCATCCCTCATGATAAATCATGCTTTGCTTGTGGTATTTCCAGTTAGAATCTGACAAAAATCAATGCAGCCAGAAAAAAAAAATACATCAACAATATGCCTCCTCAAAAACCACATGCCTGGAATAAAATATCCAATACCCAGTGCAAAATCTCTCTTCTTCAACAACGGAGAAACCAAGGAACCAGCCTATACATGGGAAAAATCCCACACACCAAGGTGTTACCTGGGGACCTAAGTCCCTAAGAAAACCCACGTCTTATGGCTGAACACACCCATGTGGAAGTCTAAACCTCAAAGGCTGTTTTCCACCCTTGGGAAAACAGGTTTTTAAGCAGTTATTCCATCACCATCATTTGACAATTCAAGAATGTCATCTACTTCATAAGTGGTATTTATCATGTGTCCTGTGCCTTGAATTTTTGGCAGAAATTTCTAGATGCCACGTAAGTGCAGGACATGTCAGAAGGAAGTGATATATTACAGGCTGCTCTCTCTCATTCCCTTCTCAGAATTCTCTTTATTCATTTAGAATAGAAAAGGCCAGAGGCACTATGAAGTACAATCATTTGCAGCTAAAGAGGTCCCTACTAAACTGGCTGGAACAGGCAAGGATTATACAGGACCCCAAACCAGAAGCTGAAAGTGAAGTCGGAGGGGAGAACAACAGCCAGAGAGAATTCTTATAAAATACTTCTATGAATCTATCGCCAAGGCTGAGATTTAAAGGAACACTATCAGACTTCCTTATTTTCAAACATATCCAATATGAGTGATGTGAAAAATACCATGTATTGTGAAGTGTCTCCGCTTGGTATTTTCCCCAGATCCATAAAAACATGTTACAGTGCCGGGCACGTGGCTCATGCCTGTAATCCCAGCACTTTGCAAGCCGAGGCGGGTGGATCATGATGTCAGGAGTTCGAGACCAGCCTGGCCAACATGGTGAAACCCTGTCTCTACTAAAAATACAAAAATTAGCTAGGCTTGGTGGTGGGTGCCTGTAAATCCCAGCTACTCGGGAGGCTGAGGTAGGAGAATTGTTTGAACCCGGGAGGCGGAGGTTGCAGTGAGCCGAGATCATGCCATGGCACTCCAGCCTGGGCAAGAAGAGCAAAAACTCGGTCTCAAAAAAAATAAAAAATAAAAAATAAAGCTATAGTATCCGATGAAATTCACTGGTTGAGAAGAGAAAGGTTAAGGTCCCTAGCTGATCAAATAGTTCTCACCCCAAATGGTGGTAATACATGCGAACTGCTACACTCCAGAATCCTGCAGCAGCACTGTAAAAAGGTAAATCAACAGCCTGCTCCAGCGAACTGGAACAGGTTGGCTCTAATTGCCTCTCTCACTTGTGTGGTTCCTCTTTTCTCCTTAACCACACTATCACAAAGGAGCTTTTTACATATACACACGTGCACTCAATTAATATCTGAACACAGGAAACTAAATATCAGGTTGCTATGCCTACCCAACACATTCTGCAGTTAAATTCTACCCCAGCTTCTGTTTTCAGAGACCCCTCTCTCACCTTTAACCCTGATATCAATGAAAAGATCAGGTTAACATTCACATATCACACAACATGCAGTCTTCACAGGGGATAGAAAGCAGACCAAGGGCCAGACCCCCCAGGGAAAATCTGGATAAACAATTAAAGCCATCTGCAGGCCCCAACTGAGAAGCAGGAAGACAAAGTTCAATTTAACAAAAATGGACAGTTTCTTGACTACTTGGGCCCAGGCATGGTGCTTAATCCTACAGATTCCTAAGGATCTCACAGTCTGGGTAAGCGTGGTGGGGCAGACATTCAATCAAGTATTAATCTAAAAAGTCCTTTAACAGAGCTATAGACATGATGTCTTGGAAGACAGCAGGAGTGTGGGAGACATGGGAATAGTCACAAAAGGCATCCAGGAGGAATCAATATCCAAACTCATTATTAAAGATTGAGCCTTACAAATGTGGGGGTAGAAGAGATGAAGCAGGAACTTTGGGTAGAAGGGAAAGGAACAAAAGCACAGAGGTATTCATTAGCTGGGTGGCACCACATGCTAAGAAAACTATAAGCCACTGGACATGGACTTGGAGGTGGAATGTGGAAAGAGACGGAGCTTGAAAGTTACGCAGAAGTCAGGCCAAACAAGAGAACAGACAATCCTGAGAAAAAACACAAGCTCTCAAAAGATTTTAAGCGTGGAGTAACAAATTGACTCTTTTGTTTTATTTTTGAGACAGAGTCTCACTCTGTCATCCAGGCTGAAGTGCAGTGGCTCGATCTCTCCTCATTGCAACCTCCACCTCCTGGGTTCAAACAATTCTCCTGCCTCAGCCTCCCAAGTAGCTGGGATTACAGGCATGCGCCACCACGCCCAGCTAATTTTTGTATTTTTAGTAGAAACAGGGTTTCATCATGTTGGCCAGGCTGGTCTCGAACTTCTGACCTCAAGTCATCTGCCCGCCTCAGCCTCCCAAAGTGCTGGGATTACAGGCATGAGCCACCGCACCTGGCCAGATTGGCTCTTTTAGATAGATCACTGTGTTAGCAGTCTGGAGAGCGGGTTTGAAGAGACTGAAAAGGGACCACAAGAGACAACACAAAGGCATCCCAGCTCAATTTCCATAGACAAAATGAGAACAAAAAGTGCCACTTTTGAACCAACATACGTAACAAAACTTATAAAATTTGAAACACGACATTTTTACTGTTCCTGCCTTCCATGTACCACTAAAACAGCCAGTGAATCTGTCACCCACCCTCCCAACAGAGATCCCACGGGTTCTAAGAAATCCACATCCCCCCTGCAGACACTGTGATACTGCAGCAGTCCTTTCACTCCTTAGCAAAGAATTGTCTCCCCTTCCTCTGACAAGAGAGACCACAATGACCCAGTTCATTCCACTCCTCCACCCTGGATAATGAGCAAATGAGGTTTCCCCTTTAACACACTGCTCATCTCTAGTAGTTCCCAACTCTGGCACTTAATCAATCAGAAGCACATTAACCACTCCATGCAGATTAAACAGTAAGCAGGAAGTTAGTGAGTGCTGTATAGCAGGATATAAGGAAAGCAAGAAATAAACATGTAGTGCTGGGTTCCTTGATAGGCACCTTAAAGAATCTCAGTTCTCATTACAGTGGTTTATAAGAGTATACATTAATTCTCCCAGTTCACAGATGTGTGAGCAGGAGCTCAGAGATGTTGAATAGCTCATTCATTTGGTAAATGGAGAAGCCAGGATTCAAATCCCAAAATGAGAAGCTCTAAATGGTGTTTATTTACTACACCATATTTCAAGTATATATGGATAACAAATATGATTACATATTAAGGTTAGTAATAAAAATATCTCCCCTTTAAAAACAGAGAAGGGACTCATGGATAGGAAGAATCAATATCATGAAAATGGCCATACTGCCCAAGGTAAACTATAGATTCAATGCCATCCCCATCAAGCTACCAATGACTTTCTTCACAGAATTGGAAAAAACTACTTTGAAGTTCATATAGAACCAAAAAAGAGCCCACATTGCCAAGACAATCCTAAGCCAAAAGAACAAAGCTGGGGGCATCACGCTACCTGACTTCAAATTATACTACAAGGCTATAGTAACCAAAACAGCATGGTACTGGTACCAAGACAGAGATATAGACCAATGGAACAGAACAGAGCCCTCAGAAATAATACCACACATCTACAACCACCTGATCTTTGACAAACCTGACAAAAAACAAGAAATGGGGAAAGGATTCCCTATCTAATAAACGGTGCTGGGAAAACTGGCTAGCCATATGCAGAAAGCTGAAACTGGATCCCTTCCTTACACCTTATACAAAAATTAATTCAAGACGGATTAAAGATTTAAATGTTAGACCTAAAAGCATAAAAACCCTAGAAGAAAACCTAGGCAATACCATTCAGGACATAGGCATGGGCAAGGACTTCATGACTAAAACACCAAAAGCAATGGCAACAAAAGCCAAAATTGACAAATGGGATCTAATTAAACTAAAGAGCTTCTGCACAGCAAAAGAAACCACCATCAGAGTGAACAGGCAACCTACAGAATGGGAGAAAATTTTTACAATCTACCTATCTGACAAAGGGCTAATATCCAGAATCTACAATGAACTCAAACAAATTTACAAGAAAAAATCAAACAATCCCACCAAAAAGTGGGCAAAGGATATGAACAGACACTTCTCAAAAGAAATTTACGCAGCCAACAGACACATGAAAAAATGCTCATCATCACTGGTCATCAGAGAAATGCAAATCAAAACCACAATGAGATACCATCTCACAACAGTTAGAATGGCGATCATTAAAAAGTCAGGAAACAACAGGTGCTGGAGAGGATGTGGAGAAATAGGAACACTTTTACACTGTTGGTGGGACTGTAAACTAGTTCAACCATTGTGGAAGACAGTGTGGCGATTCCTCAAGGATCTAGAATTAGAAATACCATTTGACGCAGCCATCCCATTACTGGGTATATATCCAAAGGATTATAAATCATGCTGCTATAAAGACACATGCACACGTATGTTTACTGCAGCACTATTCACAATAGCAAAGACTTGGAACCAACCCAAATGCCCATCAATGATAAATTGGATTAAGAAAATGTGGCACATATACACCATGGAATACCATGCAGCCCTAAAAAAGGATGAGTTCACGTCCTTTGTAGGAACATGGATGAAGCTGGAAACCATCATTCTGAGCAAACTATCACAAGGACAGAAAACCAAACACTGCATGTTCTCACTCATAGGTGAGAATTAAACAATGAGAACACTTGGACACAGGGTGGGGAACATCACACAATGGGGCCTGTCCTGGGGTGGGGGGAGGGGGGAGGGATAACATTAGGAAATACACCTGATGTAAATGACGAGTTAATGGGTGCAGCCACACCAACATGGCACATGTATACATACATAACAAACCCGCACGTTGTGCACACGTACCCTAGAACTTGAAGTATAATAAAAATAAAAAATAAAAATAAAATAAAAACAGAGAAGGGACATATATCCTACGGTCTCAGATTAAGGGATCACTCACAAAAGTGACAAACGATCACAACTGGAATCTCCAAATGCTACTAAAAAAAAAAAGGTCACTTCTGAGCATTAGTGACCAAAAAATGTTCAGACTCAAATAATCAAAGCAATCTGGCTATCCTCCAGAGAAATATCTCAAATCCTCCACACACTTTCCCCTCAGAGTCCCTAAGACAATGTTTGAAAAAACTCATGGCTGACTGCTCATTCTCTTGAGTAAATGACTTCCCAAACTACTTTGCCCACCCAAATTACAGAAATGCGTCCAGGATTCACATGGCAGTTCTGATCCGATTTGTCCCAATCCTGGCTCAAGCAGCTTTGCTACTTTCCTAACTAGATCAGCATCAGCCAATGGGTTTATTCAAGCTGATCTGTGATGGATTAGATAATGAAACCTTAGCCATGTAAGCTGCCTGCTTGTATTGGGGTTGTAGAGGAGAATAAGAAGAAACTCAATACTCCTAGGGGCCACCTAAAACACCAAATGTACTCACCATCCCTCACTCCATCTGTCTGCTCATGCTCCAATTACTGCCATTTCCTTCCAATCATGTCTGTGGTTCTTCCCTCCTGCCTTTGAAGGAAGTGCACATTTGCCCCAGAATAAAGATGTTTACTATGCTTTACAAATGTATATCAACAAAAATTCAAAGAAATCTGCTTACTAAAATGACTGTCTTTTTCTACAAATTATTAAAGCCTGACATCAAAC
This sequence comes from Homo sapiens, assembly GCF_000001405.40. Lineage (NCBI taxonomy): Eukaryota > Metazoa > Chordata > Mammalia > Primates > Hominidae > Homo > Homo sapiens. The sequence continues at coordinate 36,022,188 of NC_000022.11, forward strand.
TGAAGGCCTGAGAGATGTTAAACTAGAGATTCACTAGCAACATTCTTGTTTATACAAAGTAGCATAACTCAATTTCTTTCTCAGCAGTCCTGTAAACTTGAGGCCTGTCTGCACCAGTCTGCTTTACAGCAAAATGAAAGTTAAATTTCTAGTTAGCTTCTGTTGTGTTCACATGTCAGCGTGATAGTGAAAAAAAAATGACAGAGTAGCTAGAAAATGGGAGGGAGTTGGGAGACAAACTCAACTCAAGCTAATCTCTTGAGTCACCCTGAAGAATAATTCTACTTTGAAATCAGATCTGACTTTCTCCTTCTCAAATACATTTCCAGTTTTACATCTGCAGACTTCCTTGTAAGACATGGGGAAAAAAGCAACAAGTTTTACATGACTGTTCCTCAGTTTCTCCATCTACAATATTTACCACTCTGGTAGTGTTACAGGCTTAATGTCTGTGTCCCTCTAAATTTCGTATGTTGAAGCCCTAACCCCAGTGTAATGGTATTTGGAGGTAGGACCTCTAGAATTAGCTTCAGATTGGGTCATGAGGGTGGGAACTACATGATAAATGAGTGCCCTTATAAGAAGAGGAAGAGACCACTGACTCTCTCTCCCCCAGGGCACAGACAAAGGAAAGGCCATGTGAACACACAGCAAGAAGACAGCTATCCACAAGCCAGAAGGTGGGCCCTCACCAGACATGAAATCTGCTGGCACCTTCATCTTGGACTTCCCAGCCTCCAAAACTGTGAGAAATAAATGTCTGTTGTTTAAGCCACCCAGTCTATGGTATTTTGCTGTGGCAGCCCAAGGACACTGGGACAGGGAGAGATGAAAAATTCAGTAATTTCAGTGAAATATTGTTCATGAAATTACTTGCAAGAAAAAAAAAACACAATATTTTTATAACTCTTCTTGAATGGTAGCACCATGCTTAGTTTCAGCACCAAATACCAAATGAGGGCACAAAGAGACATCCACCTATGAGGAAATAAGCCCATAAATAAGCAAATGGGAAGATAAACTACTTCAATAAACACAGCATCTACAAAGCAACTTCAGGCTATCTGGAACCCCTTCCCTGAAACCTGAAAGAAAGTCATCTTACTACTAGAATCAGCTGCTAATAGGAATAACTGCTGAACCCACTTGGCTAAACTGGATTTATGACTCTATGGTGAGAAGCGGTTACTTGGCCATATAATAATTATACCATATCAACATTTCACTGACACAAAGAATTCTGCTGAAAGCTATAAGTAATAAGGTACATCTTACCTTATACAGCAGCTAAACTCTTAGAAAACTGCACAAAAATAAAATTTTTATGAATCAAATTGTTCACTAGAAAAGCTGACCAAAAGAATTCATTCCCCACTACATTGTATAGAGCGTAAATTTCATACATATTAAACTTAAAGTGAAATGAACCTCTAATAGCCCTATATTTAACTCATTTAACTTCCCACAAACTTTGAGTACAGTATTTCCAAGTACTCTCTTTAACTACATTTCTCAAACTGTACATCAGCTTTCCAGTTGAGTTTGTCACTTCCCTCCTACTCTCTGGTTCACGTTTCTCTATTTCTGTACTCTTTCCAGGGCTGCACTGACTCCTCTTCCACCTACATCAAGTTTCTGTATACTGCCTTTGAAAGCACCGACCCTTCCTCTCTTTCTCCTAGGGTTCCTTCTGAGCCTAAGGATTATAACAAAAGCATCACAGACTCTCTGGCGTTTCCTAAACTCCATTTTGGTAAGTGATGATTTACTCCAAAAGCTTAGTGGTACAACTTAACAAGATTCAACTTTGGAATCTAACGCTTAGCACTACAGCTCCATTTAGTAAGCAGCCTTGGGAATGACCCCAGTAAATGAACTTATTCTATAAAAAGCGGTTAATCCTTTGACATTCAAAGTGCCTGGAAAATTCTGTGATGATACCCTCACTCTGGAATTTCACAATTTTTCTTAATCCTTAACTATCTGTAAAAGGTAAATTTCAATTTCAATTTAACAGGCATTGAGCACTTACCAAGTACCCAAAACTGTTAGGTATTACGAAGGATAAATACAAAGGAAATATAGTTCCTATCTTTTAGAAGCTTACAATCTTAGCAGTGAAACAAGAATAATAAAACAATTAAGGGACAATAAAAGATGACACACAATTAAGCATCAATATACCAAGAGGCAAGAGTAGGATCGGAATGGTGTGAACTAAGCTGTCAGGGAAGGCTTCACAAAAGGAGTTAGAAAACGTGTTAAGAAAACAGGCCAGGTGCAGTGGCTCATGCCTGTAATCTCAGCACTTTGGGAGGCCAACGCAGGCGATCACCTGAGGTCAGGAGTTCGAGACCAGCCTGGCCAACATGGTGAAACCTCATCTCTACTATAAATACAAAAATTAGCGGGGTGTGGTGGCACATGCCTGTAATCCCAGCTACTCAGGAGGCTGAGGCATAAGAATTGCTTGAACCCAGGAGGCAGAGGTTGCAGTGAGCTGAGATCAAGCCACTGCACTCCAGCCTGGGCAACAGTGAGACTCCATCTCAAAAAAAAAGAAAAAAAAGACGTGTACTTTAAGACAAACCCACATACCCAAAACACTGGCTACGATAAGATTTTTTTTATTTTTTTGAGACAGATTTTCGCTCTTGTTGCCCAGCCTGGAGTGCAATGGCGCAACCTCAGCTAACTGCAACCTCCGCCTCCCGAGTTCAAGTGATTCTCCTGCCTCAGCCTCCCTAGTAGCTGGGATTACAGGCGCCTGCCACCACGCCTGGCTAATTTTTTGTATTTTTAGTAGAGACGGGTTTCACTATGTTGGCCAGGCTGGTCTCGAACTCCTGATCTCAGGCGATCCACCCGCCTCAGTCTCCCAAAGTGCTGGGATTACAGGCGTGAGCCACTGCGCCCGGCTAAGATTTTTAAAGTGTGTATTTACATAGGGCCTATAGATATTTCTAAACCACTGATACCATCTCCTAAGACTACCTGCCCTTGCTCTCTCTGCTCCAGCTATTAATACATTGGTCTCCTGTTTCCAAACAAACCAAGCAGTCTTTCTCAATGCCTGTGCACCCTCACCTCCTCTACCTGAACCCTCTTTCCGAAAGCATCTGAATGGCCCATTACCTCACTTCACTCATAGGCCATCTATCTTAAAGCCCTTCCGTAACCATCTTCATTCTCTCCCTTTCCATCTCTCCCTTTCCCTGCTTTTTCTTTTTAGCCCTTATCACCACACAATTATAGTTGTTGATTTATTAGATGTCTCTTTCCATTCAATATTAGTTCCATGACAGCAAGGGTTTTTTGTTGTTGTTGTTCACTATTATATCTCTTAGGGTTAAAACAGTGCCTGGGATGTAGCAGCTGCTTAATAAATGTTAGTTCAATGAATAAACATTAAGTATATTCATGTAATACTCTCACACTTCTTTAAAAATGCACGCTTCTTTAAAAAAAACTTTTCGCCCATTTGTCTCCCCACATAGATTGCATGCACCTTAAGGACAGTGAACTGGACTTATAACTTTTAGAAGGTAACTTAGAACTTGGCCGGGTGCGGTGCCTCACACCTGTAATCCCAGCACTTTGGGAGGCCGAGGTGGGTGGATTACAAGGGAAATCATCTTGTACACATACTTTATTTTACAACTAAGGAAAACAGAGGCCCCAAAATGAAAGATTTCTGCAGAACCATTCAGCTAGTTGAAGGCAGGGCCTAAATCAATGATTTGAATACCTGTATGACATAGGGGAATGGACCTACAACAATGGGAATGTATAGAAGGCCGGGTGTGGTGGCTCACACCTGTAATCCCAACATTTTGGGAGGCTGAGGTGGGTGAATCACCTGAGGTCAGGAGTTCGAGACCAGCCTGGCCAACCTGGTGAAACCCCCTCTCTACTAAAAATAAGAAAAATTAGCTGGGCATGGTGGCAGACGCCTGTAATCCCATCTACTCAGGAAGCTGAGGCAGGAGAATCCCTTGAACCCAGAGGTGGAGGTGGAGGTGGAGGTTGCAGTGAGCCGAGATCGTGCCATTGCACTCCAGCCTGGGCAAAAAAAAAAAAAAGAGAATGTATAGAAAGAAAATAAAATACAAGAAGTGAAAAAAGGATTCTCGGAGGGATAACTCTCAGCTGCCAATTTGTACCCCCAAGGACCTAACCACTCTTTCCTCTGCACACCCCTGCGAAGTCCCTACACACTGCTCCATTTCCAAATATCACTATCTTTAGCCAGTTTGAAGGCAACCAACAGATAATAGGCCCCAGGAGTAAATGAGGGAAAGGGACGGGGGTCTCACTATTAACTAGGATTGACAGAAATGATAAATGAATACATACACACACACACACACACACACACACACACACCAAGTAGAACCTGCTCACCAGCACCTACATCCAGTCTTCCCTCCTTATCATCCAATATTAGCTCACCTCACCTGAAGTCTCCCACATTCCTGTCTTTTTTGCCATGGCCCTGAGCTTTTACTTCTCACAATCCCTCTGCCTGACAGAGTTCTAATGGAAAATAAAAGCAGGCAAACAAAACAAAAGAATTCAAAAATAAACACCAAGAGGGTCACTTTACCTAAATCAACAGAAGTAACAGGGTAAACTCTGCAAAGGAGACCAAGAAGCATACAACAAACATGCTAGGCTTAAGTACAGCTCTGTCCCTAACACAGGAAGTCAGGCAGAGGCTTGAAAAGCAGGGAGCAGAGCACAGGAAGTCTTTTAGCACTGCAGAGATTTCCAAGAGTGGTGTAATGGAGACAGCACAGGAATAGGAATTAGAAGACCAGGCTTCTAGTTCTAGTTTTACTATTAGCTAACTGGGTGGCCTTACCCAAGTCACCATCTTCTCTGGACTTCTGATTCCCCATCTATAAAATAAGGTGGTTAAAACAAGCTGGGACTTGAATCTCCTCCAAAAAAAACAAAGATGAAAACTATTGACTCTCCTCCACCAAAAAGTGCACATCACCTACTATGAGTAAGAATCTTCCAAGTCTTCCCAGGTTAAGAACCCCTGGAAAAGATGATGTCTAGTCCTCCTAGCATCCCTCTAACATCCTATGACTCCGAGAGAATTAGGCACAAGTCTGCACAACTGTTGGTAGGTGAGACTCATCATGTCATAGCAGTATTTTCTGGGCAAAGACCAAATCGTAAAACCTCCAAAGGTTTCAAGGTCTTCTTCAAAACTATGAAGTCAGCTGACATCAATACCTTTCCCATTCCCTACCCAAATTAACCACGTTTATCTTTCAATCCAGAATTGAGAATCCAGTCTTCTAATAGCCCTATAAAAAAATTTTTTTTATAGCCCGGGACATTAAAGAGCTATTTTGTGTCCTGGTGATGTAGAATGCAATTGGCAAAGAACAGGAGGGACATGTCTAGTGTCTCCCTTCAGACTCATTAGTATGCTCCACAAAGTAAATGAGACTGAGCACCACCGTGTCCCCATAACATTACCAAACTCCTTGTACTTCTCACACTCTGTGTGATTTAACCCACAATCTCAGCCACATCCCCTCGGGGCTCTCTCGAGGAGTTTTCTTTTCACTCCTCTCATTGAAATGCCACTTCTCTTCCCCATCCCAGCGTGTGCCCAGGGCTGCCAAAAGGTACTCCCTCTTCTCGGGAGGTTTCCCACCAGATCTCCTTTTCCTCGACTCAGTCCAGAGAAGCCAGGATTTCCCGGCTTCCACTCCACCCCAAGGCACTAAGGAAGGATTTGAAAAAATGGAATCCATCTCAACCTTGTTCGATTTCCCCCCAAAACCTATCCACTCGTCGTGCCTCCTGGCCCCTCAGGAATCAGGACCCTCTCGGGCACACCAGGTTCAGTCCTGCAACCTTCGTTCCTAGCCCGAGCTCGCCCCACCTTCCAACCAGGCCCCGAATGGCCCCCCATCCCACCTCCAACCCAGGACTCCCGGAGGCCCTCCCTCTCTCCAAGCCGGGGAGCCCGGTGTCGACCCTCACGCCCACCCCCGCAATAACTGGGCGCCCCGTCCCGCGCGGTCACCTGCATCCCGCCGCCACCGTCGGCCGCCGCCTCCTCAGTGCGCGGCCGCTTGCTCAGGCCGGGATCGGCTCCGTCTCCTCCCGCTCCGGGCACCGGCAGCTCCAGCTCCGACTCCCGCTTCATGCCCCGGGCGGCGGCGCCGGGCCCGAGCTGAGGCGGCTGATGCGGCTGGGCGCCCTCCGCCATCCGCCCGCGCCCCCCTCGCCTCCGGGAGCCGGGCGACCCGCGACAGGCCACCTCCCCCTGGGCCTCGGCCCCGACTGTCGCGACAGGCGGGCGCGCGCCTGCCCCCGCCCCCGCGTGCGTGCGTGCGTGCGCGCGAGCGGACTCCGCGCCCCTCCGCGCCTCGCGGCCGCCGCTCCTTGCCTGACCGCTTGCTCCCCGCCCGCCCGCCCGCCGGGTTGTCGGCGCGGGGCCACTGGCGGGTCGTGATGAGCACTCGCTCGCGCCCCCGCACGCACACGCGAAACCCGGCCCGGCCCGCCGCGCCGCCCCGCCTCTCGCACTCCCGGAGCTCGCCCACCGGCCGCGCTGGCTCACACTCTCCCTCACAGCACGCCGGCCGAGGGAGGAAGGGGGCGGTCCGGGCTCCCGAGGCGTGGGGAGGGCTGTTTATTTTGGGGGGAGGAGGGGCGCGAGGCAGGAACGAGCTGACTGGCCGGGATCCTCCGACCCGCCACTGTGGCAGCACCGGGAAGGCGGGGAGAGAGAAAGAGGGAGGGAGGGAGGGACCGGGATGTAGAACTCCAGCCCGCGCGGGAGGCTACGGCGAGGGGGGCGGTGGCGGCCCGCGGGGGGGGCGGGGCCAGGCCCCCTCGGCAATCTCCGTAGTCTCCTCGCTGGCTGCCCGAGGGAGGCCGGGAAGCGATCGGGGAAGCTCGGGAATCTCCGGCACGGGCCTGGGATTGTCCTGGAGGCACAGCGCGGCTGGAGTGCGGGGCAGCGCGGGGGGGGCGGGGTCTGTCTCCTTTCTGGGCGGGGCCGTATCCTGGAGCAGGCGGGGCTTGAGAGACCCGAAGGCCAGGGAGTGGCTCCTGCTTGCGGTACTAGTTGTACAGAGTTAAGTCCTGAGTTTACTCGCCTGAGCACCTTGGTTCCCGGAGAGGGAATGGGCACTCTGTGAGAGGCAGGCTATTTGCCTGCTTCCCCTCCCGCAGAAGAAAAAATGTCTCAAATTGGAAGGTCGAGGAATGAAGCCACCCCTCTATGGTTCACCCCAGTTCTGAGAGCTTTTACTCTAATATAACTCACATTCCTAATGAAGTTAGTAATAATACCCGATGTTTGTAAGAGCTTTAGAGTTTGCACAATGCATCCACAGACCCGTTTCAAACTGGTGATATAAGTAGATACCATGATCTCCATTTCATTGATGATGAAACTGAACCTTAGTTAAATCCTGCAGCAAAAAAGTGGCAGATCCGGAATTCAGAACACGAGAACATATTCTCTTTCTTCGTACCTTGCTGCCTGAGGAGCACTTTATGACTTACCAACTTCGTGGAGATAGAGATATCTGTGCAATAGATTCTCTCCCCTACCAGACTGTGAGGACAAGGACTGCAGTGACTTCCTCTGAGTTCCATATCGTGCCCTGTACGTTATAGAAATAAAAGGATATTGCGTGAATAACCTGGATTCTAATCTTGGCTTTGCTAACTAGCTTAAACAAGTTACTTCATCTCTTTGGACCTCAGCTCCATCATTTGTAAAATGAGATGGTTTGGATCAGTGGCTTTCAACCAAGGAGAAATTTTGCCATTCCACCACCTCCACTCCCACATTTGTCAGTGACTGAAGGCATTTTTTTTTTTTTTTTTTTTTTTTTTTTTGAGACAGAGTCTCGCTCTGTCGCCCAGGCTTAAGTGCAGTGGCGCGATCTCGGCTGACTGCAACCTCTGCCTCCTGGGTTCAAGCGATTCTCCTGCCTCAGCCTCCCCAGTAGCTGGGACTACAGGTGTGCGCCACCAACTAATTTTTGTATTTTTAGTAGAGATGGGGTTTCACCATGTTGGCCAGGCTGGTCTCGAACTCCTGACTTCAGGTGATCCGCCTGCCTCGGCCTCCCAAAGTGCTGAGATTACAGGAGTTAGCTGCCGCGCCTGGCCGACTGAAGGCATTTTTGATTGTTACAGTGGGGAGGTGCTGCTGGCATCTAGTGTGTAGAAGCCAGGAATGTTGCTTGACATCCTATCATGCACAGGACGGTCCCCCCAGGAGAGTTATCCAACCCCAAATGTCAATAGTGCGGAGGTTGAGAAACGCTGGGTTAGATGATTTCCAAGGTCATTTCCAACCAGTGTGTGATTTGGCCTTTGAACCTGGGTTTAACCTGGCTGGGGCTGGAACAGTACAACAGTAAAGATCCCTGCTTCAGAGTCAGACCAACCCAGATGAGAACGCAGGCTTCCCACCTCCTGCCCACGTAATCTGGGACCAGTGGTGACTAAGAACTTCCATATAAAAGGTGTTTGGGGATTGCAGACTGGTTGGAAGGGAAGTCGGGAGGACTTGCCTTGAAGGTGAGTTGTTGTATTGAGCATATTGTTTGTATTACTTAGGCTGTGTTATAAATCAGTAAAAATAGCAGAGTTTTAGCTCTGCCACCTGCAAGTCATGATGCCTTGTGACAGCTACTTACCCCCTCTGTGTCTCAGTTTCTTCATCTGCAAATTAGGATAACAATAATACCTTCCTGAAAAGATTATTGTAAGAATTTAATGTTATCACGTTTAGAACTTTGAACGGAATGATTTAGGATAAGCGCTCCATAAGTGTTACAGCTAACACTTATAGCTAACTAATAATAGCTTATTAGTAGTACCATTATCACTTTATTCACTTTTTTTTTTTCAGATGGAGTCTCGCTCTGTCACCCAGACTGGAGTGCAGTGGTGTGATCTCGGCTCACTGCAACCTCCACCTCCTGGGTTCAAGCAATTCTTGTGCCTCAACTTCCCAAGGAGCTGTGATTACAGGCGCCCACCACCACGCCCGGCTAATTTTTTGTATTTTTAGTAGAGACAGGGTTTCACCATGTTGGCCAGGCTGGTCTCGAACTCCTGACCTCAAGTGATTCCCCCCCTTTGGCCTCCCGAAGTACTGGGATTACAGGCATGAACCACCAGGCCTGACCTTTATTCACATTTTAAATGAGAGTGAAAAAACATTCATTGTCAAGATCAAAGAATATCATTATCATTATTATTGGGTTTTTTTTAATTATGTAAGGTGACTTGAGTGGGGCTGCTAGAGATTCACATGCGGCAAGCAAAGCACCCCAGTAACCCCTTGGTGCAACCACTATGCTGGGCAAATTACTTTGTTTCACTAAGCCTTCCATTCCTCATTTGTAGGATAACAATAATAGTCACAGTGTTGTTCTAAGGATTAAATGGGACAAAAGTAAACACTTAGCACAGTGCCTAACATAGTAACTGCTTAATAGGTGGTAATTATTCATCAACTAATTTGGTTAGTGATACAGTAAGCTTAACCAGGGGCCTTGGAAAGAGAAGCCTTAAACAACTTCTTCTTCTTCTTCTTCTTTCTTCTTTCTTCTTTCTTCTTTCTTCTTTCTTCTTTCTTCTTCTTTCTTCTTCTTCTTCTTCTTTTTTTTGAGACAGGATCTCACTGTCTCCCAGGCTGGAGTGCAGTGGCCCAATCTCAGCTCACTGCAACCCCCGCCTCCCAGATTCAAGCGATTCTCCTGCCTCAGCCTGCCAAGTAGCTGGGATTAGAGTCACGCACCACCATGCCCAGCTAACTTTGTGTATTTTTAGCAGAGACAGGGTTTCACCATGTTGGTCAGGCTGGTCTCAAACTCTTGGCCTCAACTGATCCTCCCGCCTCAGCCTCCCAAAGTGCTGGGATTACAGGCGTGAGCCACCACGCCCAGCCCTGACACATCTCTTAGTATTATTATTTGGACCACCAAGGTGGAAGTCCAAGTGCCTACAAGCTTGTTCTTGTGCTGAATTAGCCCCAACCTAAGTCAGCGGTTTCCACTTGGCAGTACCCCACAACCTGATCCTGTTCAACCAAGCAGTATGGCTTTGAGGGATAACCAGGATATTTCCTGGTGGCCTATGAAACAACAGCGGGTTTTGTCTTTTTTTTTTTTTTCTTTAACCTAGGGACATCAGCAGTTGGTCTTCTGAAATTTTTACTTATTGAACTGGTAGCATAAGAATTCTCCCTTCCCAACTGGGCATGGTGGCTCACACCTGTAATCCCAGCACTTTAGGAGGCCGAAGCGGGCAGATCACTTGAGGTCAGGAGTTCAAGACCAGACTGGGCAAAATGGTGAAACCCCATTTCTACTAAAAATACAAAAAATTTAGCCAGGTGTGGTGACAGCTGCCTGTAATCCCAGCTACTCAAGAGGCTGAGCCAGTAGAATTGCTTGAATCTGGAAGGCAGAGGTTGCAGTGAGCCGATATCGCGCCACTGCATTCCAGCCTGGGCTACAGAGTGAGACTCTCTCTCCAAAAAAAGAGAATTCTCCCTTCCCTGCTTGCCTTGCCAAACTACTGAAATCTTAATGATGTTAGATCTTCCTGGGCTGTCCCCTGACCCAGCAAGAAATGAGATTTGAGATCGGGGCTGCCAGTGACTCAAATTTTTGTTATTCAGGTAACGCTCAAGTCCCTTAGAAACAGAGCAATGCAGTATAGAAATGTCTGAATGACCAGGCAGAACAAAGAAAAATTGGACCCTGCCCTGGAAACAAGCATTATGTATTTAAGGAGAAAGAGGAGAGTTAAACGCCTACAAATCATAGAAGAGGCAAAATGCATCCATGGCAGCACAAAGACCAGATCATTTCTTTTCTTTTTTTTTTCTTTTTTTTTTTTTTTTGAGACAGAGTCTTGCTCCGTTGCGCAGGCTGGAGTGCAGTGGTGCAATCTTGGCTGACTGCAAGCTCCGCCTCTCGGGTTCACGCCGTTCTCCTGCCTCAGCCTCCCGAGTAGCTGGGACTACAGGCGTCTACCACCACACCCGGCTAATTTTTTGTATTTTTAGTAGAGACAGGGTTTCACCATGTTAGCCAGGATGGTCTTGATCTCCTGACCTCATGATCCGCCCGCCTCGGCCTCCCCAAATGCTGGGATTACAGGCGTGAGCCACCGTGCCCGGCCGATCATTTCTTTTATATACATCTGCAGCCATTTGTTTAGAAGCAGGTAGTTAGGAAACATTACAGAGGAAGAGGACATTAAATATTTTCGGTCACTGGCTCATGCCTGTAATCCCAGCACTTTGGGAGGCCGAGGCAGGCAGATCACCTGAGCTCAGGAGTTCGAGACCAGCCTGGCCAACATGGCAAAACCCCGTCTCTACTAAAAAATACAAAAATTAGCTGGGTGTGGTGCCGTGCACTTGTAATCCCAGTTACTCAGGAGGCTGAGGCAGGAGAATAGCTTGAACTCAGGAGGACAGAGGTTGCAGTGAGCTGAGATCATGCCACTGTACTCCAGACTGGGTGACAGAGTGAGACTCTGTCTAAAAAATAAATAAATAAAAATATTTTCCTAGAAAGAATTTTTAGCTGCAGAAACTGTTGCAGTTCTAACATTTATTCACTTATTCATTCAACAAATTATGGGCAAGTGTCTGGAATACCAAGATGACAAAAAAAAAATTATTCTTAGTCCCAAAGAGCTCACAATCTAGGGAGGAAGAGATGAACAAATCCAAAGACAATTGCAATGCATTATGATAAGGGAGTCATCTCTCACAGTGGCCAAGAACATAGACTCTGATGTCAAACTGACATGGGTCTGAGTCTGACTTTGCCATATATCTTACCTTGGACAAGACCTTAGCATCTCTGAGGCCTGGTTTCTTCATTTATGTGACAGGCACTGGTAGTTACCAACCCAATATCCATTCTCCTCTTACTCCATCCTAGCAGAACCCCAATTTTGTTCAGGACAGAAATCTGCTTAGCAATTAAAAAAAAAAAAAAATTCTCTGGTTCCCTGAAAGCTAAGGGTGGCCACGTAACACCATCCTAGCCAGCGAGATGTGGGTGGAAGATAGCATTCCTTCCTAGTTAATAAGACAAAACCGCTGGGCATGGTGGGTCACGCCTGTAATCCCAGCACTTTGGGAGGCTGAGGCGGGTGGATTACCAGAGGTCAGGAGTTCGAGACCAGCCTGACCATGGTGAAACCCTGTCTCTACTAAATACAAAAAATTATCCAGGCGTGGTGCTGTATGCCTGTAATCCCAGCTACTTGGGAGGTTGAGGCAGGAAAATCGCTTGAACCCGGGAGACAAAGGTTGCAGCGAGCTGAGATTGTGCCACTGCATTCCAGCCTGGGCAACAAGAGGGAAACTCTGTCTCAAAAAAAAAAAAAAAAAAGACAAAGCCACAAGAAGAAAAGAAGAAAAGGCTCTTTGCCCTTTGTCCTTTGCCCTTCACCCTTTCTCCTGCCTGGAACACACACCGGAAAAACAGCAGACATCTTGTCTTCAAAATAGCAGAAGCCACATGCTAAGAATAGTACTGCAGGGAAGGGTGGCTCATGTCTGTAATCCCAGCACTTTGGGAGGCCAAGGCAGGCAGATCACTTGAGGTCAGGAGTTCGAGACCAGCCTGGTCAACATGGCGAAACCCCATCTCTACTAAAAATACAAAAATTAGCCAGGCGTGTTGGTGCAACGTGGTCCCAGCTACTTGGGAGGCTGAGGCATGAGGAGCGCTTGAACCCAGGAGGCAGAGGTTGCAGAAAGCTGACATCACACCGCTGCACTCCAGCCTGGGTGACAGAGCAAGACTCTGTCTCAAAAAAAAAAAAAAAGAATAGTATTGTAGATCCACCATACCAGCCCGAGCCTGTCTATGCTAATTTATTGTTATTTGAGAAAAATAAGTCCTCATTTGGTTAAGCCACTGCGGACAGGTTTCAACATGTGGCCAAACTCAACTCCTAACTGATATGATCTATAAACCAAACACAATAATAGTACCTCCCCTGACATTCTTTTGACCACTAAATAATGCATGTAAAACACTTAGCATGACACCTGGTTCACAAACACACTCAATAAATGTTAATTTAGACCCTTTTACTACGCTATTGCATCTACTATCTTTATTAATATGATTATTATATATGCCAAAAGCAATAGGGGTATTACAGAAAGATGTAACTCCGTCTGCCTGGGGGAGAGAGAACAAGTTTCACCCAGAGTGTTACATTTGACCTGGCTCTTTCAAAATGAGGAGGAATTTCCCAGGGAATGGTTTCTGATAAAAGGTAGTAAATTCTTGTGTGCCCTTTCCATGGGCTTAGAAGAGTTTGGCACTGCCCACTGGGTTGCTACCAGGAGAAAACTCAGCACAGGGCTTGGAGTCAAAGGACCAGGACTGGAGTCAGCTGCGGTCTTCAATAGAACAAAGACTGGGAGAGTTAAGTGGGCTGTCCATCTGTGAAAAGCGAGCCAGAGTACCTAGCCACAGGGCTATTGCGAGGTCTTTAGGAGATAAGAGATCTTGGGAAAGATCTATTCAAATGCCAGTTGCAGCTAACCCAGTAGTCTGGTTACCTACAAGCTGGTGGTGTAAAATCTCTTTGCGTTCTTTGAGAACATGATCACTTTCCTAATTCCTGTTTTTTGTTTCTGTGTTCCTAGCACCTAGCACTGAGCTTGACATAAAACTTGGCTATTCCAAGACTCCTGAAGATATTAAAAAACACAACTGCAGACCTAAGATTTTCCCTAGAAAAACAGATAAAGACCCGGAGCAGATAATCTTAAAATACTGTCTTAACCAGGCAGTCCTCTGAATAAAGACAGGGTCTAAGTCCTTCCCCAAAATTGATCACCTCTCTAATCAGAGCGAAGAGAGGAGATATAAATAGAAGAGACCATTTTCTACTCCAAAGCTTTCTTTTCAAAAAAAAAAAAAAAAATTCAGAGAATACCCTTGATAATTCATGGGCCAGAGGAAGTGGAAGCAGCTCCTGCCATGTGCCTGGCTGATCTGGGAGAAGATACAGAGTCTAATGAGAAACTGAATTCAGCAAAAAAGGAACGAGTGATGTTTAAGCCTCATTAGGGCTATAGAACCAGCGTTCTGACAAAAAAATACTCGCTATTGACTTTGACCTCACTTCCCTACCTCCCTCTGTTCGTGGGATTATTGAACCAGGGTTTTTCCTATAGGCCAGAACCTTGCCAGCCCTTTTGCCCTTCACATAATGTGTTTGTCTGGTTTCTATTTCTGTAGTTTGATGAAGGATGATAGCAGGGTATTGAATTGTTGTTTTTCATTTAGTGCAGTCGCCGCCCTCACCCTGCCCACCACCCCCCACCCTGCTCTCAAGTCATTTTCATTGTCTGTTTTTTGCCTTGAGGTTTTTATTGCTTCTTCAGAGTGGAAGAAGGCTTTGTTTTATTTTGTTTTCCAGGCGCTGGTATACATAACCTCATGGATCCATCCTTCCTGCAAAAATTATGGTGTTTCTAAATCGGCAACAATTTCCTTTCACTGGGGAAAGGCAGGGAAGGGTCAGATATTTGCTGAGCCCATAACAACTACCAGGTGCAAAACTAAGTGGGGTTTTTTTGGTTTTGTTTTTTGGATTTTTTTTTTTCGTTTAATCCTCACAACCGACCAGAGAAGCAGGTAGTATTACATCTTATTTTACCGATGAGAAAACTGAGACCCAGAGAGGTGAAACGACCAGCTCAAGGTTACACAAGATGGTTAGTGACAAAGAAACTCTTGTCCCCCCACTCCATGTCCACTGCCTTCCAGTGCTTCACCCTGTGCCTTTCAGAACTTTTTAGGGTGTTTTACTTTGGGCAGATACAAATCTCATAGGGAAGAGGGGACAAAAAAGTCTAACATTTTTTTCTCTGAACCTGAAGTTAATAACTTCTTCATCCTGCTTTCCACTGGGAGCATAAGCTTCTGAATTTTTGTTTTGTTGAGGCATGGGGTCTTCATTGTCTTCCTTGTCCCTGCTGGCACCTGCTCAGGTATCTTCCTCTGGGTCCCTGTCCTGCTGTCAGTATCGATCCGCACTGGGCTCCACCCAGCTGACCTATCTGATCCTTGTTGTTGAGGCACTGAGATTGCCTCTGTCAAGGACATGGGGAAACCTTGGGTTTTCCCACTGTTCTGGGGGCCTTGGGACGCTCCAAGAGGCTGTCTCCAGCCCCTGCAATGTAGACACAGAGGAGGCATCCTTACTCCTTGGACATCGCGCTGGGAGGGGAAACACTGCAAAAGCCACCGCCTCCAGGGCCTGTAAAGAGAAGCCAGGCTCAGGTCTTTGCTCCTTCCAGATGCCACAGTGACCCCTGGGCTCCGTTTCTCCCTCTTTCCTCCCTGAGGCTCCATCTGTAAAGAGGCAAGCGAGGAGGATCCTCCAGAGACCCATACAAGACTCTGGTTCGCCTCCCCTCTCTCCTCAGCCCCTGCTGCCTTTGCCTCTCCCAGGTGGGGCTGCCAAACCTATCCTGGCTGATTCTGCTTCGTTTGAACCTCTGGATTTTGTAGGACATAGACTTCATGTCCAGAATCATGTAGGTTTCAAACTTTTGGAGTACAAAAGATGAGGCTTTTGAAACACAGAGACTTTTCTCTCCAGCCACACATTTCAAAACATATTTTGAAATTCAAAAGCTGAGTTCAGACTCTTCTTCTCTTTGCATTTCCACTATAATAGTTTTATTCCTGAGGGCGAGAACAGCAGAAGATACCTGGGAGAGTGAGGGAGGAAGAACATATGTTAATATTTTTCAGCAATGACAATGTCTGCACTACGTCCTTCTGCTGTGAATTCAGGGAGATAGTTCCAGCCTCCCCGGGAGTCAGGATGGGGATATATGATAACATTCTGGCCAGGGGAAGATGGGTAAAAGTGACAGGGGCCACTTCTAAGCTTGGCCCCAAAAACATCCCTGCCAATCCTCTAGCCCTCTCTTTTCCTTCCACAGCAGCTGCAGAGACCATGAGCTGAAGACAGAAGCATCACAAGAGGAAAGGAGCCTGGATCCCTGAGTCATCGACTGGAGGAGAACTGCATAAGAAGCTGCCCCAGGCCTGGCACGGTGGCTCATGCCTGTAATCCCAGCACTTTGGGAGGCTGAGGCGGGCAGATCACCTGAGGTCAGGAGTTCAAGACCAGCCTGGCAAACATGGTGAAACCCTGTCTCTACTAAAAATAGAAAAATTAGCTGGGTGTGGTGGGCACTCGTAATCCCAGCTACTTGGGAGGCTGAGGCAGGAGAATTACTTGAACCTGGGAGGTGGAGGTTGCAGTGAGCCGAGATCACGCCACTGCACTCCAGCCTGGGTGACAGAGCAAGACTCTGTCAAAAAAAAAAAAAGGAAGCCGCCCCAGCTGCATCAGACTGTGATATGAGAGAGAAATAAGCCTTAATTTTGTTAAGCCGCTGAGGTTTGGTTTTCGCTTGTTGTTGTTGTTTTTGTTTTTATAGCAGCTTGTGTTCTTTATGCTGACTAATATAATATCTAAATATTGTTCTGCCTCATAATCAATATATTTAAAAAGCCAGAGATGAGGAATCAAAAGCCTGACTGCTTTGATTAAAATCTATGAAGTTGAAGGTGCATAACATGCATGCCAATTTTAAGATAATATTAAATATTATCTTTGGGCCAGGTGCAGTGGCTCACGCCTGTAATCCCAGCACTTTGGGAGGCCAAGGCGGGAGGATCACTTGAGGCCAGGAGTTAAAGATCGGCCTGGGCAAACATAGTGAGACCTCCACCTCTACAAAAATAAAAATAATTAGCCAGGTGTGGTGATGAACACCTGTGGTCCCAGCTACTCAAGAGGCTGAGGTGGAAGGATTGCATGAGCCCAGGAGGTTAACGTTGAGGCTACAGTGAGCCATGTTCAGGCCATGGCACTCCAGCCTGGGCAACAGAGCAAGACATCATCTCCAAAATAAATAAATAAATAAATAAATATTATTTTTGGACAACAGTCAAAGCTTGATATTGAAGGAGAGTGATGGGAAAGAAAACAAGAATGACACCTCAATTCTTTTCTTTCAATCAGCCTGGAATAATAATTGACATATTGCGACACTCAATAAGCAATAATTGAATGAATGAAAAACCTGTTAACCAACACAATCTCGTAAAACTCAGGCCATTTGCTATTTTAGGTCTTATGGGGAAGAGCAACGGAGGTAGAGAGAAAAAAGTAGGAAATATAGAATGGCAAGGTGGAAATCATTTTCCAGAAGGCATGCCCCTTTGCCCATTCCCACTTTTGTCACTTAAAATGGTGCTTATCAGTTACTGATATTCTGTAGCCTGCTTGAATTTCTGTAGCAAATTTCTGTAGCCAGCTTGAATTTCTCCACAGAAAATGGATTTTTATTTTCTATTGCATTGTCAGGCTGCAAATTTTCCAAACTTTTATGTTGTGCTTCCTCTTGAAAGCTTTGCCACTTAGAAATTTATTCCACCAGATACCCTAACTCATCTCTCTCAAGTTCAAAGATTCACAGATCTCTAGGGCAGGGGCAAAATGCCACCAGTCTCTCTGCATAGCAAGAGTGACCTTTACTCCAGTTCCCAACAAGTTCCTCATCTCCATCTGAGACCACCTTAGCCTGGACTTTATTGTCCATATCATTATCAGCATTTTGGTCAAAGCCATTCAACAAGTCTCTAGGAAGTTCCAAACCTTCCCACATCTTTCTGTCTTCTGAGCCCACCAAGTCTCTAGGAAGTTCCAAATGTTCCCACACTTTCCTGTCTTATTCTGAGCCCTCCGAACTGTTCCAACTCTGCCTGTTACCCAATTCCAAAGTTGCTTCCACATTTTCAGGTTTATTTATAGCAGCACCCCACAGTCTAAGGTACCAATTTACTGTATGAGTTCGTTCTCACACTGCTATGTAGAAATACCTGAGACTGGGTAATTTGTAGAGGAAACAGTTCTAATTGACTCGCAGTTTAGCACGGCTGGGGAGACCTCAGGAAACTTACAGTCATGATGGAAGGGGAAGCAAACGTGTTCTTCTTCACATGGCACCATGAAGGAGAAGTGCAGAATGAAGGAGAGAAAAGCCACTTATAAAACCGTCAGATCACTGGGCGTGGTGGCTCATGCCTGTAATCTGAGTTTGCTGCCCTTGATGTTCAGTTGGGAGGGAGGCTAGACATGTTAATACGTAAGGATGTGGCTGGTGCACGATACTAAAAATACAAAAATTAGCCGGGAATGATGGTGTGTGCCTGTAGTTCCAGCTACTTGGGAGGCTGAGACAGGAGAATTGCTTGAATCCAGGAGGCGGAGGTTGCACTGAGCCGATATCATGCCACTGCACTCCAGCCTGGGTGACAGAGCGAGACTGTCTCAAAAAGAAAAAAAAAAAAAATTAGCTGGGTGCCGTGGCAGGTGCCTAAAATCCCAGCTACTCAGGAGGCTGAGGTGGGAGAATCACTTGACCCTGGGAGGCGGAGGTTGCAGTGAGCCAAGATCACAACACTGCACTCCAGCCTGGGCAACAGAATGAGACTCCATCTCAAAAAAAACTCACGAGATTCACCATCACAAGAACAGGATGGGGAAACTGCCCTCATGATTCAATTACCTCTTACCAGGTCCCTCCCACAACACTTGGGGATTATGGGAACTACAATTCAAGATGAGATTTGGGTGCGGACACAGCCAAACCATTTCAATCGCTAAGACTGGAATCACGCAGAAAGGTTTTTGGGGTTTGAAGGAGCTCAATAAATAACACCTCTCTTCCCCATCAAGTCAGGAACCAATTTAGGACAGACACAGGAGACAGAGAGAGGAAATCAAAATGTTTGATTTATTACCAATAAACACTAGGTTTGAGTATGCAGCTGAACTGGGCGTGCAGCCTAGGTTGTGCTATGAATGGATGTGCTGTGTTGGAAGAATGTGCTATGAGCCTTGACTCTTGCATTAGATAGACTCAACGACCGTTGGCATAGCTGGAAAACCAGAAGCTACCGCTTGACAAAAAGCAAACCAGAAATCTCCTTCTCAGTGGTGAGGCAAATTTAAGGAAAAGGGCAGGAAGGAGTTGAGCCAAGCCATTTCCAGAAATCACTCCATCTGTCAGCTTTGGCTAAGATATGCAGCACGAACAAACAGCCCCAAATGGTCAGTGACTTACAACCAGAAAGAACAAGAACAGGCCAGGCGCGGTGGCTCATGCCTGTAATCCAGCACTTTGGGAAGCTGAGGGGTGTGGATCACTTGAGGTCAGGAGTTTGAGACCAGCCTGGCCAACCTGGTGTAACCCCATCTCTACTAAAAATACCAAAAAATTAGCTGAGGCCGGGTGCAGTGGCTCATGCCTATAATCCCGGCACTTTGGGAGGCCAAGGCCAGTGGATCACCTGAGGCCAGGAGCGCGAGACCAGCCTGACCAACATGGTGAAACCACATCTTTACTTAAAATACAAAAATTAGTCTGTAATTCCAGCCACTCCTGAGGCTGAGGCAGGAGAATCAGTTGAACACAAAGGCGGAGGTTGTGGTGAGCCAAGATCACGCCATTGCACTCCAGCCTGCACAACAAGAGCAAAACTCTGTCTTAAATAAATAAATAAATAAATAAATTAGCTGGGTGTTGTGGCGTGCTCCTATAATCCCAGTTACTCAAGAGGCTGAGGTGGGAGAATAGCTTGAACTCAGGAGGTGGAGGTTGCAGTGAGCCAAGATTGCGCCATTGCACTCCAGCCTGGGCAACAGAGTGAGACTCTATCTCAAATAAAATAAAAAAGAACAAAGGTTCTTGTTCACCCACCCATTGTGGGTTGGCTGTATGTTGTCTTCACTCTGGGACCCAGGCTAATGGCCACTGCTAGGCTGGTCTGTGTCAGAGGGAAGAGAGGGAGACACTGTAGAAGATACAAGGGCCACACTGGTATTCCGCTCTCATTCTGTTGGCCAAAGCAAGTGACCTGGCCAAACCTGCCTTCAATGGGGCGGGGATATTTCATCCTCCAAAGGGAAGGGCAAGGAATATTTTTGAATAATAACCCACTCTACTACACCCCTCCTGGAGATAAGACAAAGACATGGGATTTCGTTTTCCCAATCTGTACCCAAAGGCCAAAGGAGAAGCAACAGATGCTGTTGCCACACGCACACCCCCTTGGCCTACTGTGGATGTTCCCTGCGGGTTCTGCTGACGGTTCCCACACATCCCACATACATCATCTGCTTCCCAACTTCAATGCCTGCCAGGTTGCTGCCTCTGGCTGTAGGGCATGTTGGGCCTATGAGCAGGACAAGCCCAGAATGCTGGAGAGCTAACCCTCCCCACCACCTGCCAGGAGCAGACCTTACCCAAGGAGGGGAAGAAGTCGTGTATACATTCCTCAGCTTCCTCACCTGTTGGTAAGACAATTTTTTTTTTGAGTTGGAGTCTCGCTCTGTTGCCCAGGCTGGAGTGCAGTGGTGCGATCTTGGCTCACAGCAACCTCCATCTCCTGTGTTCAAGCGATTCTCCTGCTTCAGCCTCCTGAGTAGGTGGGACTATAGGCATGCGCCAGTGCCACCACACCTGGCTATTTTTTTTTTTTTTTTTAGAAGAGACAGGGTTTTGCCACTTTGGTCAGGCTGGTCTTGAACTCCTGACCTCAGATGATCCTCCCGCCTCGGCCTCCCAAAGTGCTCACAGGTGTGAGCCACCGCACCTGGCGGTAGGATAATTTTAAGAGACACAGTCTCTCGGAGGACACAGTGGGAGTGAGCGCTGTTTGTCCACAATGGTAACTTGCCTATTAATGTCCATTTTCCTCTCTTTTTTTCCTCCTCTATCTTCGTTGCCCACTGCCTCACTGAGCAACCTGAGATCACCTCCCAAATAAACCAATGCACCCAAATCCCTGGGTCAAGCTCTGTTTCGAAGGAACTCACCTAAAACAGGAATGGAAGTTTCTCCTCTCAAAGTCCTATTTCCTGAGCAATAGAAAAAAAAAAAAACCTGTGGTGTGTATACACAATGGAATACTATTCTGCCTTTAAAAAAGAAGGAAATCCTGTCATTCGCAACATGAGTGAGCATTACACTAAATAAAATAAGCCAGGCACAGGAAGACAAGCACCGCCTGATCTCGCTTTATGTGGAATCTAAAAAAGTTGAATTCAGAGAAGCAGAGAGGAGAATGGTGGTTTCCAGAGCTGGTCGGGGAGAAGGGAATGGCAGTTGCTGGTCAAAGGGTAGAAAGTTTCTGTTAGACAGGAGGAATAAGTTCTGAAGATGTATTGCACAACATGGTGACTATAGTTATACTAACGTTTTATTTGTTTGTTTGTTTTGTTTTTGAGATGGAGTCTCGCTCTGTCGCCCAGGCTGGAGTGCAGTGGCATGATCTCGGCTCACTGCAATCTCTGCCTCCTGGGTTCAAGCGATTCTCCTGCCTCAGCCTCCCAAGTAGCTGGGAGGTACCCAAGGCGCCCACCACCACACCCAGCTAATTTTTCTATTTTTAGTGGAGACGGGGTTTCACCATGTTGGCCAGGCTGGTCTCGAACTCCCGACCTCCGGTGATCCACCCGCCTCGGCCTCCCAAAGTGCTGGGATTACAGGCGTGAGCCACCATGCCCGTCCACTAATGTATTATATACTTGGAGAGTAGATTTTAAATGTTCTCACCACAAAAAATGGTAGGTATATGAGATTATGGATATATAATGTGTTTGATTTAATTATTCCACAATGTATACATATATGAAAACATCACACTGTACACCATAAATATATACAAAAATTGACAAAGTTTAGTCAGTTTTTTAAAAATAAATATTTTTTTAAAGACCTATTTCCTTTTTTTAGAAAACTTTTGGGCCAAGCGCGGTGGCTCACGCCTGTAATCCCAGCACTTTGGGAGGCTGAGGCAGGCGGATCATGAGGTCAGGAGATCGAGACCATCCTGGCTAACACGGTGACACCCCGTCTCTGCTAAAAATAAAAAAAAAAATTAAAAAAATTAGCCAGGCATGGTGGCAGGCGCCTATAGTCCCAGCTACTCGGGAGGTGGAGGCAGGAGAATGGGTGTAAACTCGGGAGGCAGAGCTCGAAGTGAGCGGAGACCGTACCACTGCACTCCAGCCTGGATGACAGAGTGAGACTCTGTCTCAAAAAAAAAAACAAAAAAAAACTTTTAAGTTCAGGGGTACATGTGCAGGTTTGTTATATATTAAACTTGTGTCATAGGGGTTTGTTGTACACAGTCTTTCATCACCCAGGTATTAAGCCTAGTACCCATTAGTTATTTTTCCTGATCCTCTCCCTCCTCCCACTCTCCACCCTCTGATAGGCCTCAGTGTCTGTTGTTTCCCTCTATGTGCCCATGTGTTCTCATCATTTAGCTCCAACTTATAAATGAAAACGTGGTATTTGGTTTTCTGTCCCTGTGTTAGTTTGCTAAGGATGATGGTCCCTAGTTCCATCCATGTTCCTGCAAAGGACATGATCTCACTCTTTTTTATGGCTGCGTACTCTTCCACGGTGTATGTGTGCCAGATTTTCTTTATCCAGTCTACCACTGATGGGCATTTAGGTTGATTCCATGTTTTTGCTATTGTGAATAGTGCTGCAATGGACATACACATCCATGTATCTTTATGATAGATTGGTCTATATTTCTCTGGGTATATATCCAGTAATGGGATTACAGGGTTGAATGGTATTTCTGTTTTTAGGTCTTTGAGGAATCACCACATTGGTTTCCGCAGTGGCTAAATGAATTTACACTTCCACAGTGTATAAGTATTCCTTTTTCTCCGCAGCCTCGCCAGCATCTGTTATTTTTTGACTTTTTAATATTAGCCATTCTGCCTGGTGTGAGATGGTATCTCATTGCGGGTTTGATTTGCATTTCTCTAATGATCAGTGATGTTGAGTTTTTTTCATATGCTTGCTGGCTACATGTATGTCTTCTTCCTTTTCTTCTTCTATTTTTTTTTTTGAGATGGAGTTTTGCTCTCGTCGCCCAGGCTGGAGTGCAGTGGCCCAGTCTCAGCTCACTGCAATCTCTGCCTTCCAGGTTCAAGTGATTCTCCTGTCTCAGCCTCCCAAGTAGCTGGGATTACAGGCGCTCGTCACCACGCCTGGCTAATTTTAGTATTTTTAGTAGAGATGGGGTTTCACCATGTTGGCCAGGCTGGTCTCAAACTCCTAGCCTCAAGCAATCTGCCCCCTTGGCCTCCCAAAGGGCTGGGAGTACAGGTTTGAGCCACTGCTTCTGGCCCAAGTATGTCTTCTTTTGAAAAGTGTCTGTTTATATCCCTTTGCCTATTTTTTAATGGGGTTGTTTTTTTCTTGTAAATTTGTTTAAGTACTTTATAGATGCTGCATACCAGACCTTTGTCAGATGGATAGATTGCAAAAATTTTCTCTCAATCTGTAGGTTGTATGTTGACTCTGTTGAGCAATTCTTCTTTTTTTTTTTTTTTGAGACGGAGTCTCGCTCTGTCGCCCAGGCCGGACTGCGGACTGCAGTGGCACAATCTCGGCTCACTGCAAGCTCCGCTTCCCGGGTTCACGCCATTCTCCTGCCTCAGCCTCCCCAGTAGCTGGGACTACAGGCGCCCGCCACCGCGCCCGGCTAATTTTTTGTATTTTTAGTAGAGACGGGGTTTCACCTTGTTAGCCAGGATGGTCTCGATCTCCTGACCTCATGATCCACCCGCCTCGGCCTCCCAAAGTGCTGGGATTACAGGCGTGAGCCACCGCGCCCGGCCGAGCAATTCTTCTTCTGCCTACTCAGCCTTACAGCACAAAACAGACAATGTGAGTGCCAGTTACTCTTAAACAATAACATTGATATCTCTGGCCACTGAACCTCTGACACCCAGTGCTGGCTCCCCACATGCTTATGGAGAGGCTTCTGGCTTCTTGTCAACATCTTGACTTTGTGGCCATTACAGCTGGGGTCAGCCAGTCTCCACCTTGGATGTCTCAGGAGCCCTTTCTTTCCAGCCTGTAATTTAGAATTTCTCAACTGTCCCTTCGTATCCATCAGCATGCTTCATGCATAGTTCATTCACATTCAACAAATGCTGAGTGGATCCTGATTGGCAGAAATGTTCCAGGGACTGGGAATGTGACCCATGAAGATGACAGACCAGAACCCTAGTCTCCTAAAATGTATATTCTGGTGAGGAGAGAGAAAAAATGAGCAACAAAAATGTTAGATGAGCCAGGCGTGATGGTTCATGCCTGGAATCTCAGCACTTTGGAAGGCTGAAGCAGAGGATTCGCTTACCCAGGAATTCGAGACCAGCCTGGGCAACATAGTGAAACCCCATCTCTACAAAAAATACAAAATAGCCAAGCATGGTGGTGTGTGCCTGTAGTCGCAGCCACTCAGGAGGCTAAGGAGGGAGGATTGCTTGAGCCCAGGAAGGTCGAGGCTGCACTGAGCCATGTTCGCACCACTGCACTCCAGCCTGGGTGACAAAGCGAGACCCTGTCTCAAAAAATAAAAACAAAAATAAAAATAAAATAATTGGCTGGGCGCGATGGTTCACATCTGTAATCTCAGAACTTTGGGAGGCCAAGGTGGGCAGATCATTTGAGGTCAGAAGTTCAAGACCAGTCTAGCCAACATGGTGAAACCCCATTTCTAATAAAAATACAAAAATTAGCTGGGTGTGGTGGCCCACACCTATAATCCCAGCTACTCAGTCCCGAAGCAGGAGAATCACTTGAATCCGGGAGATGGAGGTTGCAGTGAGTCAGGATTGCACCACTGTACTCCAGCCTGGGTGACAGAGTGAGACTCCGTCTCAAAAAAAAAAAAAAAAAAAATAGACCAGGCGCGGTGGCTCACACCTGTAATCTCAGCACTTTGGGAGGCCGAGGCAGGGAGCCTCCTTCGAATCACCTGAGGTCGGGAATTCGAAACCAGCCTGACCAACATGGAGAGACCCCATCTCTACTAAAAATACAAAATTAACCGGGCATGGTGGCACATGCCTGTAATCCCAGCTACTCGGGAGGTTGAGGCAGGAGAATCACTTGAACCTGGGAGGCGGAGGTTACAGTGAGCCGAGATCACGCCATTGCACTCCAGCCTGGGCAACAAGAGTGAAACTCTGTCTCAAATAAATAAATAAATAATAAAATAAAATAATAATTTTTTAAAAAGACCCTACTTTGGCACTGTAGCATGCCTTACAGGCATTGCACTGGAATTCTACATTCTATTTTTGCTCTCTGCCTCCCTCCCAGACTGGGGGCTCTGTGGAGGCTGGAATCTCTCTCCCTCATTCTCTCCATCCCCATCCCACCACCCCCACTTTAGGAATGGAATGTTTGGAACACACAGTAAGTGTGTCAAGAAACACAGAGTGAAGGACTCCTTCAAGGCCCATGTGATACATCACCTTACTCTGTGAAATCTTTCCTGATGCCCGCTATCCCCACCCTCCTCATGCCTCCTTAGCACTTTGCAACAGTTCCAGTGAAGCACTGAACACATCCGTACTTTTTTTTTTTTTTTGAGACGGAGTCTTGCTCTGTCGCCTAAGCTGGAGTGCAATGGTGCAATCTTGGCCCACTGCAACCTCCACCTCCTGGGTTCAAGCGATTCTCCCTGCCTCAGCCTCTAGAGTAGCTGGGATTACAGGAACCTGCCACCATGTCCAGCTAATATTTGTATTTTCAGTAGACAGGGGGTTTCACCATGTTGATGTTGGCTAGGCTGGTCTTGAACTTCTGACCTCAGGTGATATGCCCTCCTTGGCCTCCCAAAGTGCTGGGATTACAGGCATGAGCCACCGCACCAGCCACATCCTTACTTATTAACATGTCTAGCCTCCCTTCCAAGTGAACATCAAGGGCGGCAAACTCAGATACCTACAAGGGCCAGGCAGGGTAAGTGCCTGATTGTGGCAAGTGGAGGCAACTAGGGGCAGTAGCAAACCAATTTTCATGTAATGCTGGAAATTTGAATTTTTATGAGAAATCTCCAGATATTTCAATGTTGGCAATTAATTATTTTGAAAAACTAAATGAGTACTCGCTTGTAGAGATCTCTTTGTTGTTCTTGTTGTTTGTTGTTGTTGTTGTTTTGAGACGGAGTCTTGCTCCGTCGCCCAGGCTGGAATGCATGGCACGATCTCTGCTCACTGCAAGCTCCACCTCCTGGGTTCACGACGTTCTCCTGCCTCAGCCTCCCTAGTAGCTGGGAGTACGGGTGCCTGCCACCACACCCGGCTAATTTTTTTTGTATTTTTAGTAGAGACAGGGTTTCACCGTGTTAGCCAGGATGGTCTCGATCTCCTGACCTCGTGATCCGCCCGCCTCGGCCTCCCAAAGTGCTGGGATTACAGGCGTGAGCCACCATGCCCGGGCCTGAGATCTCTTTTTAGTCAAAATGATATTCTCAGGATCTTACACAGCAAAGAACAAATGATGATTGCTCAAGAATATTGGTTGAAGGTGGGGCACGGTGGCTCACGCCTGTAATCCCAGCCCTTTGGGAGGCCAAGGGAGGTGGATCACCTGAGGTCAGGAGTTCGAGACCAGCACGGTCAACATGGGGAAACCCTGTCTCTACTAAAAATACAAAAATTAGCCAGGACTGGTGGCATGTGCCTATAATCCCAGCTACTTGGGAGGCTGAGGCAGGAGAATCGCTTGAACACAGGAGGCGGAGGTTTCACTGAGCTGAGATCATACCACTGCACTCCAGCCTGGGCAACAGAGGGAGACTCCGTCTAAAAAATAATAATAATAAAAAGATATTTGTTGAATGAATGAATAAACCAAACAAATGGGAATGAATCAGATCAGCTCTTCTCGCTGGAGTCCGTCTATGACTTCATCATTTGGCTTAGCCAAGATTGGATTCCAGATGAAATGGAAGGTGGGCTTAGTTTTCTTTTTTACATCAGGTGATGAGTTTTTTTACTTTTTTTTTTTTTTTTTTTTTTTATTGCCTCACTACCTGGAATGTCTCCGGTGGCCCTGGGGCTTTCTGGGAAGGAGATCAAATGTCTCTGAAACAGGCTCATTTCCACAGGTGGCTCAGCTGGGTTCATACACTAATCAGATGGAAGACTCATGACTAAGCGCTTAGACTCCAGATAAGTTGCACAGACATTAATAGAACTGTAGAATGGTAACAGTGGAAACACTCTCAGCTGTCACTTGTGGACTAGACTCTACTTGTGCGACCCCAATTAGCAGAGGAGGAAACTGATTGGGAAAGTGACCTACCCAAGGACACATTCTGGGGAGGTCATCTCTCTTCCATCCACTGCTTTCTTTGGCTCTGCTCAGATGGGAGCCATACGTGTTCATCTTTCACCATTTCCAAGACAGCGACTAGTCTTGAAAGGAATGCCCGAGTACGTTATCAGCCTCCAGACTGGTTGACAGCGTGGGCTGGCTATAGACTCTTCTTGGACTAACACCAGGACTGCTACCCTGAAAGGGCTTCTCTAGAAACAGAGAATTGGGTTGAATACAAATATTCTACTACCAGAATCCCAGTGAGGAAATCTGAGGCATGTGAGTCAAGAGGAGGGATTGACTCTGTCCTATTTTTGTATCGCCAATAGCACCTAGCAAAAGGCTTTCAGTGTAACAGACACTAAGTATGTGTGTGTTGAGCAGTGCCCACTATGTGCTGGGTATTGTCCTAAACAATGTTTCTCAGTGTTATCTGGGTGTCCCTGGGGATCCCTAAGACCCTTTCAGGGGATCCTCAAGGTAAAAAGAAAAAAAGCCGATTGTTATTTACCTTTTTCACTCTAATTCTCTCCTGAGTGCACAATGAAGCTTTCCAGAGGTGACATGATGTTCAGCAGCTTATAGAACGTGTGCCTGGCCAGGTGCGGGGGCTCACACCTGTAATTCCAGCACTTTGGGAGGCCAAGGCAGGCAGATCACCTGAGGTCAGGAGTTCGAGACCAGCATGGCCAACATGGTGAAACCCCGTCTCTACTAAAATTACAAAAATTAGCCAGGCATGGTGGCGTGGGCCTGTAGTCCCAGCTACTCCAGAGGCTGAGGCAGGGGAATTGTTTGAACCCAGCGGGCAGAGGTTGCAGTAAGCTCAGATCGCCCCAGTGCACTCCAACCTGGGCAACAGAGTGAGATGCTGGCTCAAAAAAAAAAAAAAAAAAAAAAAAAAAAAGAACGTGTGCTTGTCATTCTGTTTTTTGAAATTTTCTCTGTTTTAATTTCAAATATGGTAAATATCAACAGATATAACCCATTATAACAAGTTATTTGAAGTCTTCAATAATATTTAACATCAAAATTTTTGAACCAAAAATGTTGAGATCCACTATTCTAGAGGATAGAAGAAGCTAATAAGAACTATTAAAAAAAAAATAGAGCAGAGTAAGAGGAATTGAAAGGGCCTGGGATGGGTGTGAGTGATGGGGGACGGGTAGCTACCAGCATTAAACAGAGTGATAGGAGAAATAAACCTATAAATCAAATATCTGGCTGGGCATGGTGGCTCACACCTGTAATCCCAGTACTTTGGGAGGCCGTGGCAGGCGGATCACCTGAGGTCAGGAATTCAAGACCAGCCTGGCCAACATGGTGAAACCCTGTCTCTACTAAAAATTCAAAAATTAGCTGGGCGTGGTGGTGGGTGCCTGTAATCCCAGCTACTCAGGAGGCTGAGGCAGGAGAATTGCTTGAACCCAGGAGGCAGAGGTTGCAGTGAGCCAAGATAGTGCCATTGCACTCCAGCCTGGACAACAAGAGTGAAACTCATTCTCAAAAAAAAAAAAAAAAAAAAAAAAAATCTGATCTCTGAGTTGTCACTTAAAATCCCCTAATTTTTCCTAGATTTAAAGGTTTTTATTGTGAATTGAATCATAAATATATAAGAATTGATAGGCCAGGAAGTCAAGACCAGCCTGGGCAACAAAGCAAGACCCCATCTCTATAAATTAAAGCATAAAAATAAATAAATAAGAAATAAAAGGGGTGCAGTGGCTCATGCCTGTAATCCCAGTATTTGGGGGAGGGTGAGGCAGGAGGACTGCTTGAGATCAGGAGTTCAAGAACAGCTTGGACAACATAAGGAAACCCTGTCTCTCTCTCTCTCTCTTTTTTTTTTTTTGTTTGAGACAGAGTCTCGCTCTGTCACCCAGGCTGGAGTGCAGTGGCACAGTCTCCCTTCATTGTAACCTCTGCCTCCAGGGCTCAAGCGATTCTCCTGCCTCAGCCTCCCAAAGACCCTATCTCCATACAAAAATTAAAAAAAAATTAAAATAAAAATATTTCTAGCACTTAAAAATTCTACCATAGGCCCTCCAAGATAACATCACTTTCTAGTCCTACAAGGGTAACCTCTATTCAGATTTTAAAAATTAGTTCATTGGCTGGGGTGCGGTGGCTCATGCCTGTAGTCCCAGCACTTTTTGAGGCCAAGGCAGGCAGATCACCTGAGGTCAGGAGTAGAAGACCAGCCTGGCCAACATTGTGAAACCTCGTCTCTATTAAACATACAAAAATTAGTGGGCATGATGGTGGGTGCCTATAATCCCAGCTACTCGGGAGGCTGAGGCACGAGAATCGTGTAAATCCGGGAGGCGGAGATTGCAGTGAGCCGAGATCGTGCCGTTGCACTCCAGCCTGGGCAACAAGAGCGAAACTCCGTTTCAAACAAACAAACAAACAAACAAAAAATACAAAAATTATCCAGGTGTGGTGGTGGGTGCCTGTAGTCCCAGCTACTTGGGAGGCTGAGGCAGGAGAGTTGCATGAACCTGTGAGGCAGAGGTTGCAGTGAGCCAAGATCATGCCACTGCACTCCAGCCTGGGTGACAGAGCAAGACTGTCTCAAAAAAAAAAAGAAAAAATTTATTTATATTTTTGTAGAGAAAGGGTCTCACTATATTGCCCAGGCTGGTCTTGAACTCCTGGCCTCAAGTGATCCTCCAGTCTCAGCCTCCCAGAGTGCTGGGATTACAGGTGTGAGTCACTGAACCAGGGCTCTATTCTGATTTTTTAGTTAAACATTCCCTTGCACTCCTGTGCAGTTTTACTATCTATGTGTATCCATATCTTGTTTGGTTTTGGAAAACGAAGAAGCAAGCTCAAAACATGGTAAGTAAAAGGCAATATTGCTACTACTAGGTAAGGTTTCCTAGGAGAAAATGGGCCGAAAGTGTGGATCCACGGTCTGGCTCCAGCTGTCTGCAAGAGGGGCTTCCAGGGAAGTCCGTGGATATGGGGGCCTCTGAAAGAGCTGTAGGGTGAGCTGTGAACTGCAGTCTGGCAGAAAAACATTCAAGGAGAGGAGCCTGCTCCATTTTTTGGTTTGTTTGTTTGTTTCGCTTCTCCGCTCATTGGTCTATCTTCAGGTCTCTGGAGCGGGCCAAAGCTGAACACTAACACCAAGCTGAAACGCCTGCAGGGAGAATAGAAACTCTTCTAGCACCTGGTCAAGGCAAGTCAGCCCTAGACAACAGTTAAAACTCCACGTCTCTCAGCATTTTCTTCCTTGAACTCAAGCTAGGATCTTGGTGGTAACACCCAAACATGTCTGCCTATCTGCTGAGTCACAGGACTTCCTGGGGACTGGTTGGACTGGTTGCCCTCCCTCCACACTGTCTGGGGTATGACTGTCACTCTCTCATGTAGTAGACCTCTGGCTTACTGAACCCACATCTTCTCATTCCCTAATCTGTACTCTTTGTTTCAATGGAGCTTCTCCTCCTGTAGCTTGCCAAGAAAGCCTGCGTGGGAAAGTATTTTGAGATCTTAGATGTTTGGAAATTTTTATGTCTAAACATTTCAAATATTCATACCTGGTTAATACCTGCACTGATAATAGAATTTTACATTACAGATTACAGATCGTTTTCATTCCAACCTTTGACAGCATTGGGTCATCGTCTAGCCCTCAGTGTTGCTATGGGAATACTGAAGCTATTCTGATTCTGTGTTTCCCTCTCTGGAAGCTTATAGAATCTTCCTTTTTCCTCTCAGGATTCTGAAATTTCACAGCAACGTACCTTAACTTGGGTCTATTTTCATCCATCTTGCTCAGCACTTGTGAGGGTTCTTCAGTGTAGAAATATGCATTCTGCAAAATTTCTTGAGTTGATCATTAATGATTTCCTCCCCATTCTCTCTGTTCTCTTCTAGAACCCCTGTTATTCTGATGTTGGATCTCCCAGACTGGATTCCCTTCCTTTCTCTTCCCTTCCCTTCTCTTCTCTTCTCTTCCCTTCCCTTCCCTTCCCTTCTCCCTTCCCTTCCCCCTTGCCTTCCCTTCCCTTCCCTTCTCCCTTCCCCCTTCCCTTCCCTGCTTCTCCCTTCCCATCCCTTCTCCCTTCCCTTCCCATCTCTTCTCCCTTCTCCCTTCCCATCCCTTCTCCCTTCCCTTCTCCCTTCTCCCTTCCCATCCCTTCTCCCTTCCTTTCTCCCTTCCCTTCTCCCTTCCTTTCCCTTCCCATCCCTTCTGCCTTCCCTTCTCCCTTTTCCCTTCCTGTCCCTTCTCCCTTCCCTTCTCCCTTCCCTTCTCCTTTCCCTTCTCCCTTCCCTTCTCCCTTCCCCCTTCCCTCCTCCCTTCCCTTCTCCCTTCCCCCTTCCCTCCTCCCTTCCCTTCTCCCTTCCCTTCCCTTTCCTTCCCTTCCTTGACCTGCCCTTCCCTGCCCTTCCCTCCCCTCCACCTTTTATTTTCATTTATTTTCTTTTCTTTTCAGAGACAGGATCTCACTATGTTGCCCAGGCTAGTCTTGAACTCCTCCACTCAAGTCATCCTCCCACCTTGGCCTCCCAAGGTGTTGGGATTATAGGTGTGAGCCACCGCACCTGCCTTCTTTCCTATTTTCAGTCTCTTTGTCTTTGTTGCTCTAATTTCTCTTCTTTCTTTTGTTTTTTTGCTCTGTCACCCAGGCTGGAGTGCAGTGGTGAGATCATCTCCCTGCAGCCCCGAACTCCCGGGCTCAAGCGATCCTCCTATCTCAGTTTCCCAAGTAGCCAGGACTGCAGGTACATGCCACCATGCTTGGCTAACTTAAAATTATTATTATTTTTTTAGAGACAGGGCTTTTTTTTTTTCTGTTTTGTTTGTTTTTGGTTTTTGTTTGTTTGTTTTTTGACACGGAGTCTCGCTCTGTCACCCAGGCTGGAGTGCAGTGGCGTGATCTCAGCTCACTGCAAGCTCCACCTCCCAGGTTCACGCCATTCTCCTGCCTCAGCCTCCCTAGTAGCTGGGACTACAGGCGCCCGCCACCATGCCTGGCTAGTTTTTTTGTATTTTTAGTAGAGACGCGGTTTCACCATGTTAGCCAGGATGGTCTCTATCTGCTGATCTGCCTGCCTCAGCCTCCCAAAGTGATGGAATTACAGGTGTGAGCCACTGCGCCTGGCCAGAGAGAGGGCTTTTTTTATGTTGCCCAAGTTGGTCTTGAACTCCTGAGCTCAAGTGA
This sequence comes from Homo sapiens, assembly GCF_000001405.40. NCBI lineage: Eukaryota > Metazoa > Chordata > Mammalia > Primates > Hominidae > Homo > Homo sapiens. The sequence goes on from NC_000022.11 coordinate 36,054,654, forward strand.
CCCTCTTGCCTCGGCCTCCCATAGTGCTGGGATTACAGGTATGAGCCACCGCACCCGGCCCTTGCTCTAATTTCTTCAGTGGTTCCTCAACTTGATCTTCCAACCCTTTTATTGATTTTTTAAAGCGTCAACAATCCTATCTTTAATTTCTAAAGCTCTTTCTAAATCTTTGAATGTTACCAAACGGAACCCTGTTTTTGTTTCAGTTGTGGGATGCAATAATCTTTTATCTCTCTAAAGACAAAATGATTTTTTTTTTTAACTCCATGCATGGTGTTTGGTGTCTGTTTCTTTTTTGTTTTTTGAGACAGAGTTTCACTGTTACCCAGACTGGAGTGCAGTGGTGCAATCTCAGCTCACTGCAACCTCCACCTCCCGGGTTCAAGCGATTCTCCTGCTGCAGCCTCCCAAGTAGCTGGGATTACAGGCACACACCACCAAGCCTGGCTAATTTTTGTATGTTTAGTAGAGATAGAGGTTTCACCATGTTGGCCAAGCTGGTCTCGAACTCCTGACCTCAGGTGATCTACCCGCCTCAGCCTCCCAAAGTGCTGGAATTACAGGCGTGAGACACCATACCAGATCCATGGTGTCTGTTTCTTCCTGGTTGCTTTGATCCTGTCTGGTCCTGTCTGTTTTGGTTTCTCTCTTCCATGTTCAAGGTTTTTCTTCAATGTGAGGTATTTCTTAGCTCTCTTCTCAATAAAAAGCTACAAAGTTAATTGGGAGCTTGAGCACCAGGCACCATCCACTCAAACTTTGCAGCAGGGTGGTCTGGGTGGCTATTTGCTGGGAAACCCAATCCAGTGTTCTTGTTTTCTCTTTAAGCTAGTCATCTTCCGGTCCTCTGCCTGGGGGGTAAGGGTTTGGTTGTCAGGGTCCCAGGAAACAAGCAGAGTGGCAGGCCTGGAAGGGTATGCGTATGGTGTTGCCACGTTCAACATTAAGATACATTTGACTCCTTTATCCCTGGCTTTTCTGAGCAGTACTCATGTCCTCAATGTGCCTGGCATCCCCCGATTCAGAGCAGCTTTGTTTTACCCTCTCCTGAGAATAATCTTCCAGACTTCCGCTGTGGGGGCGCGGGGGTGTGAGGTGGGAGGGGATCTAGGGGTCTAAGAGCTTCCTAAATAACTTCCCCCACCAGTCTTTCTTATTTTAGCACCACCATCACCCCCTTCACTCGCAGAGGGACCTGGCGCTGCCAGCTCTCTGTCTTTGGCAGAGTCTGTCCTGTCAATCGCATCCATGCTCAGCCTTCCCACGGCTGCCTGGGACTCATTTGTCAGGCTTTCCCAGGCCTGACAACCAGTGACCCCCCGTCCCTCCCCTCTTGTGGCCGTGCTTTCCCATCCTGCTTTTCTCAACATTGTGGGTTTATGTCTCTTTTTAAAAAAGTATTCCTCTTCCAGAAGTTTCAGTGAGGTTTCAGGAGGGAGCAAAATTAGACGCATATGTGCAATCTGTCGTTGTAACCTGAACTCTACCCTGCAATTCTGAAATCCGATCTGCTCCTTAAAATTTGGTGTGGGACTTCTCCATAGAGTTATGGGAATTCATAAGCTCAACGTGTGCCACTACAGACTTTGCTTCATGCGACCACATACCAGGCACTCTGCTGGAATCTGGGATACAGACGTGTTTAGGGCATGGTACCCTCCTAACAGATATCAGCTAAGCAGAAGAGGCGGACATACTCAAGGAAACATAATACAAGCCCACAATCCCTCACCCAAATCCTTGGGAGTCATATAGGTTTTAGATTTCAGGATTTATTAGATTTTAGAAAGGTAATATGGGCCATGATTCTCATGGTACTCCAGTGGGGCCTGCAGCAACACCTCAGTATCAAACACAATATTGCTGCAGTGAAATGTATGGATATTCACACTAAATAAGATTTTTTTTTTAAAGATGATAAATAACCTCACATCCATTCAGGACAAGTTTAAGAACTGAGTACGTTAATAAATAAGGTCCAGTTTTCAGTTTGGGGATGTCTGAGTTGTTGATAAGGTCCTGTGAACCAGAATGTCTTAGTCTCTCTGGCTGCTATCACACAATTCCTTAGACTGCATAATTTATAAGTAATAGAAACTCATTTCTCATAGTTCTGTAGTCTGGGAAGTCCAAGCTCAAGGCACTGGCAGATTCGGTGTCTGCTAAGGGCTTGTTCTGTGCTCCGTAGATGGTACCTTGTGGCTACATCCTCACGTGGGGGAAGGGGAAGACAGCTCTCTTGAATTAAAAAAAAGAAAAAATTAAGTTTAAAAATTTTTTATTAAATTATTTTTTTTTTAAGAGACAGGGTCTCATTATGTTGCCCAGGCTGGTCTCAAACTCCTGAGCTCAAGTGATCCTCCCCACTTAGCCTCCCAAACTGTTAGGATTACAGGCGTGAGCCACTGCACCCAGGCTTGAACCTTTTTTATAAGGTTACTAATCCCATTCATGAGAGCTCTGACCTTATGACTTAATCACCTCCTAAAGGCCCCACCTCTTCTTACCATCACACTGGTGACTAAGTCTCAATATATGCATTTTGGGGGAATACATTCAGACCACAGAACTCTATAATGTATTAAGTTTTATAAATGAAAGTTGTACAAAATAGTGTAAGTGTATACTGAAGGGAAAGGGGAGGCTTCACAGGGGAAATGATATTTGAACTAGACCTTGATGACTGAATAGGAGCTCACCAGAAGGGAAGGGGGCTTCTGGGCAGGGTGAGCAGCTCAAGCAAAGGCCCAGTGTATTAGTCCATTTTCATGCTGCTGATAAAGACATACTGGAGACTGGGCAATTTACAAAAGAAAGAGGTTTAATGACTTACAGTTCTGGTTGGCTGGGGAAGCCTCACAATCATGGTGGAAGGCAAGGAGGAGCAAGTCACGTCTTACATGAGTGGCAGCAGGCAAAAAAAGAGCTTATGCAGAGAAACTCCTGTTTTTTAAAACAATCAGATCTCGTAAGACCCATTCACTATCACAAGAACAGCACAGGAAAGACCCACTCCCATGATTCAATCATCTTCCACTGGGTTCCTCCCACAACACATGGGAATTATGGGAGCTACAAGATGAGATTTGGGTGGGGACACAGATCCAAATCATATCACCCAGAGGTTGGAAGCATGAAAGAATGCCACTTCTTGGCTGGAAGCAGTGCCTCATTCCTATAATCCCAGCACTTTGGGAGGCCAAGGTGGGTGGATCACCTGAGGTCAGGAGTTTGAGACTAACCTGGCCAACATGGTGAAACCCCTTCTCTACTAAAAATACAAAAATTAGCTGGGTGTGGTGGCTCATGCCTGTAATCACAGCTACTCGGGAGGCTGAGGCAGGAGAATCACTTGAACCCAGGAGGCAGAGGTTGCAGTGAGCCGAGATCATGCCATTGCACTCCAGCCTGGGTGACAAGAACAAAACTCCATCTCAAAAAAAAAAAAAAAAAAAGAATATCACTTCTTGAGCAACTAGGCAGCTTGGTTTTGGTTCTAGAGCCAGGTCTCTTTCTCTGCAGAATGAGTCTATTCTTCCCAGCTGAAGCATGGGCTTGATTAGAGATGGAATGGTATGAGAGACGGGGCTGGAGAGGTTGGCAGGGGCAGGTCATGGAGAGCTATCTGGGCCACACCAAGAAGTTTGGTGCCTGTAGGGCATCATTTCTCAAAGTGTGGTCTCCAAATCCTCTCAAGAAGTCCAAGAGGTCAAAATCATTTTTGTAACAATGCTAACATAAGATTTGCTCTTTTTATTTTGTTGACTTTTTTTTTTTTTGACACCAAGTCTCACTCTGTCACCCAGGCTGGAGTGCAGTGGCGCGGATTCTCTTGCCTCAGGCTCCCAAGTAGCTGGGATTATAGGCTTGCACCACCACACCCAGCTAATTTTTTTTTTTTTTTTTTTTTTTTGTATTTTTAGAAGAGACAGGGTTTCACCATGTTAGCCAGGATGGTCTCCATCTCCTGACCTCATGATCTGCCCGCCTCGGCCTCCCAAAGTGCTGGGATTACAGGTGTGAGCCAACACACCCTGCCTGACATTTTGAATGATGGTGCAAGAGCAATATTGAGTGGGGCCGGGTGCGGTGGCTCATACTTGTAATCCCAACACTTTGGGAGGCCAAGGTGGGTGGGTCACTTGAGATTAGGAGTTTGAGACCAACCTGGCCAACATAATGAAACCTCGTCTCTACTAAAAATACAAAAATTAGCCGGGTGTGGTGGCATGTGCCTGTAATTTCAGTGACTCAGGGGGCTGAGGCAGGAGAATCACTTGAACCTGGGAGGTGGAGATTTCAGAGAGCCGAGATTTCACCACTGCACAAGACTCTGTCTCGCAAACAAACAAACAAAAAACCCACAAAATAACATGGTCAGAGGGATACACTAGTTGACTTCTTGGCCTAAACTTCCTACCTAGACATTTCAAGATTCTTTGACAGTCTCTGTTTTAGGCATCAAATGTGCACACTGTAGACGTGCAAAAAGCTTTCTGTTGTTTCAAATGAAATTGAGTTTTGGGTGGGCTCGGTGGCTCACATGCCAGCACTTTGGGAGGCCAAGGCAGGTAGATCCCTTGAGGTCAGGGTTCGAGACCAGCCTGGCCAATATGGCAAAACCCTGTCTCCATTAAAAATACAAAAATTAGCCGCATGTGGCGGTGGATGCCTGTAATCCCAGCTACTTGGGAGGCTGAGGCATAAGAATCACTTGAGCCTGGGAGGCAGAAGTTGCAGTCAGCTGAGATTATGCCTCTGAGATTGTGCCACTGCACTCCAGTCTGGGTGATAGAGTGAGACTCCGTCTCAAAAAAAAAAAAAAAAAAAGTTTGTTTTATCTAAGAAGAATATCCTCAATGAAACAGTAAAATTATCATTTTTATTAAGTCTTCACCCTTCAGCACGACTTTCTATTATTCTGTGTGATGGAATGGGAAGTATGTATAAAACAATTCTTTTGCATACCAAAGTACTGTGGTTATCTCTAGGAAAGGCACTTGTGTAATTGTTTGAGTTGCAGGTGAAACTAGCCATTCTTTATGGAATGCCATATTTTAGTTGAAAGAACAACTGCCAAAGAAAAAAATTATGACTCTTCGGATTTTAGTATTTGGCAGATATTTTCTTAAAAATGAATGCAGCGATGTTTATAGCAGCACAATTTGCAATTGCAAAAATGTGGAACCAGACAAATGCCCACCAATCAATGAGTGAATAAAGAAACTGTGGGGGGTGTGTGTGTGTGTGTGTGTATATATATGTATATATATATACATGTGTACCTGTATATGTGTGTGTATATATATACACACATATATATACACACGTACATATATATACATATATATACACACGTACATATATACATATATACACACGTACATATATACATATATATACACACGTACATATATATACATATATACACACACGTACATATATATACATATATATACACACACACACACACACACATATATGATGGGATATCACTCAGCCATAATAAGAAATGAATTAATGGCATTCACAGCAACCTGGATGAGATTGGGGACTATTATTCTTTTTTTTTTTTTTTTTGAGATGGAGTTTTGCTCTGTCGCCCAGGCTGGAGTGCAGTGGCACGATCTCTGCTCACTGCAAGCTCCGCCTCCTGGGTTCACGCCATTCTCCTGCCTCAGCCTCCCGAGTAGCTGGGACTACAGGCGCCCACCACCATGCCTGGCTAATTTTTTGTATTTTTAGTGGAGACGGGGTTTCGCCGTGTTAGCCAGGATGGTCTCGATCTGCTGAACTCGTGATCCGCCCGTCTCGGCCTCCCAAAGTGCTGGGACTACAGGCATGAGCCACCGCGCCCAGCTGGAGACTATTATTCTAAGTGAGGTAACTCAGGAATGGAAAATCAAACATCGTATATTCTCACTCATAAGTGGGAGCTAAGCTATGAGGATGCAAAGGCATAAGAATGATACAATGGACTTTGAAGACTCGGAGGGTAAGGGTGGGAAGGGGGTGAAGAATAAAAGACTACAAATTGGATTTAGTGTATACTGTTTGGGTGATGGGTGCACCAAAATCTCACAAATCACCACTAAAGAACTTATTCATGTAACAGATACACCTGTTCCCTCCAAAACCTATGGAAATAAAAAATGTTTTTAAAAAAAAGTTATTTGAGAAAGATTAAAAAACTCCTAACTACTGAAAAACAAAATGAATGCAGTGAGATGGTCACTTCAAGGAAAGCAACTGACAGTATTTGTTGTCAATGATAACACTTGAGCTTTTGAGCAAAAACTTAAATGTCGGAAATTTTACACCATGGCTTTGACAGCGTCCCAGTACTAAAATAATTTTCTGATAAAATCAGTGGTAATATCACTGGTAACATTAACTAATGAGATTTTTCAACTAATGAGATTTCTCAACATTCAACAGTGTAATGAAATATATCACTGTTTGGAAGCTGTGCTTAAGTTAGTGAATCAATATCTTCCACAGGATCAATGCTTGATACTGTCAAATCATACATGGATGAAATATCTATTAAAAATGCAAGATAGCACGCCTGTAATCCCAGCACTTTGGGAGGCCGAGGTGGGTGGATCACGAGGTCAGGAGATCGAGACCATCCTGGCTAACACGGTGAAACCCCGTCTCCACTAAAAATACAAAAAAATTAGCTGGGCTAGGTGGCGGGTGCCTGTAGTCTCAGCTAATCGGGAGTCTGAGGCAGGAGAATGGCATGAACCTGGGAGGCGGAGCTTGCAGTGAGCCGAGATTGCACCACTGCACTCCAGACTGGGCGACAGAGCAAGACTCCATCTCAAAAAAAAAAAAAAAAAAAAAAAGCAAGCTAGATCAATGGATTTCAATGTAACAGAGTAAGAAAAGTCTATGTATATTGAAGCCGTATCCCACATTGCAACTAACCTTTACGAAACTATCACTTGAGCTATCACAAGTTGAGTTTTGGTGTAGTATTAAAGAAGACAATTATCTGAAAGGCCATAAAAATAGCCCTCATTTTCCCCCAAGTACATATTTATGTGAGGGCCAATCTTCTCATAAACTTCAACCAAAACAATAAATTGCAACAGATTGACTGCAGAAGCAAAGATGAGAATTGAGATGTTTTCTATTTAAGCCAAACAACAAAAAGACTTGCAAAGCTGTAAAACAATGCCATGTTGCTCACCAATTATTTTTGTCTTGGAAGATTTAGCTATTTTTCGCAAAAATATTTACATGTAATGAGCTTACTATTTTATTTTATTTATTTATTTATTTTGAGATGGAGTCTTGCTCTGTTGCCCAGGCTGGAATGCAGTGTCACAATCTCTGCTCACTGCAACCTTTGCCTCCCGGGTTCAAGCAATTCTCCTGCTTCAGCCTCTCAAGTAGCTGGAACTACAGGTGCCTGCCACTATGCCTGGCTAATTTTTGTATTTTTAGTAGAGACAAAGTTTCACCCTGTTGGCCAGGCTGGTCTTGAACTCCTGACCTCAAGTGATCCGCCAGGCTTGGGCTCCCAAAGTACTGGGATTGCAGGCGTGAATCACTATGCCTGGCCTATTTTTAAATAAATAAATAAATATTTTGAAATATTCTCACTTTCAATTTCTAATCTGGTAAATGTTGATAGATATAACCTACATGAACAAAAGCTCTTTGGAGTCGTCAATAACTTTTTTCTTTTTTTTTTTTTTGAGATGGAGTTTCACTCTTATTGCCTAGGCTGGAGTGCAAATGGCATGATCTTGGTTCACTGCAACCTCCATCTCCCAGGTTCAAGTGATTCTCCTGCCTCAGCCTCCCATGTTGCTGGGATTACAGGCATGCACCACCACACCTGGCTAATTTTGCATTTTTTTAGTAGAGACAGGGTTTCACCATGTTGGTCAGGCTGGTCTCAAACTCCTGACCTCAAGTGATCCACCTGCCTCAGCCGCCCAAAGTGCTGGGATTACAGGCTTGAGCCACCGCACCTGGCTCTTCATTAACTTTTATAACTGTAAAGGGGTCCTGAGACCAAAAAGTTTGAAAACCATTGCTAAAATGAGCTACAACGAAAGAAAAGTCAGCGTCAGATTTGAACAAGAGGGGAGATTTTATACTAGAAAGATCCTTCTAAAGGCAGTGTGGAAGCAAGGCCAGAGTGGAACCAGGTTGCGCGCAGGTGCCCCAGTCAGGGAGTGAGACATAAGAATGGAAGGGGACTGGATGCAGTGGCTCATGCCTATAATCCCAACACTTCGGGAGGACAAGGAAGGAGGATTGCTTGAGCTCAGAGAAGTTCAAGAGCAGGCTGGGCATCATGGCAAAATCTCATCTCTACAAAAATTACAAAAGTTAGCCTGACATGGTGGCATACGCCTGTAGTCCAAGCTAATTGGGAGGCTGAGCTGGGAGGATCGCTTAAGCCTGGGAGGTCAAGGCTGCAGTGAGCCAAAATCACGCCACTGTACTCCAGCCTGGGTGATAGAGCAAGATCCTGTCTCCAGAAGAAAAAAAAAAAAGGCAATGGGATTGGGAATAGGAGAGGAGAGTATTTTTGCAAGGAACATTCTATAAGTAGAAATGACAGGACATGTTGGCTATCTGCCCACACTCACCCACCCATTGCTCCTCCCCATAGCAGTATCACTTTCATCTAAATTCCTTATAGTCTTGGCTGTCCTCTCTAATGGGCTTCAAGCTTAATGTGTCCCAAAATGGATTCTTGATTTCTCTCAATCTAAACTTATTCCTAGAGTCTTCCTCATCTAACAAATAAATACATATATAGCAACTCCATTCTTCCAGTTGCTTAGGCCAAAAACAATGAAGGCATTAAATCCAGCAGCAAATCCTGTTAGCCCCATCTTTTTTCTTTCTTTCTTTCTTTTTTGAGACGGAGTCTCGCTCTGTTGCTCAGGCTGGAGTGCAATGGCATGATCTCGGCTCAGTGCAACTCTCCCTCCCCGGTTCAAGCAATTCTCCTGCGTCAGCCTCCTGGGTAGCTGGGACTACAGGCATGTGCCACCACACCCGGCTAATTTTTGTGTTTTTATTAGAGATGGGGTTTTGCCGTGTTGGCCAGGCTGCTCTCGAACTTCTGAACTCAAGGGATCCACCAACCTCGGCCTTTCAAAGTGCTGGGATTAAAGGCATGAGCCACCATGCCTGGCCACCTCCATCTTTAAAATGTTCCCATAATCCAACCACTTCTCACCATCCTTGACTACCTCTCTGACCTCATCTACCACCCTCTCCCTTGCTCCCTCTCCTCCAGTCATGCTGTCCTTGATTATGCTAAGCACTCTCCTACCTCAGGGCCATTGCACTGGCTGTTCCCCCTGCCTGGATTGCTCTTCCTTCCGGATATCAACAGTGATTACTCTCCTACTTGCTTCAGATCTTTGCTCAACCGTCTCTTTATCAGAGAGGGCTTCCCTGAACCCATGTACACATTTCCTATTTGCATCTCTCTTTATCCTGCTTTACTCTTCTGGTTAGCCCTCATCACAACCTGATGTGTTACAGATTTATTTTCATTTGTTTGTATATTTTATGTTCCCCTCCAGTAGCATGTAAGCTCTATAAGAATAGAGACGCTTAGTTTGTATTCCTCAATACCTAGAATGAGCCCTAGCCCAGAGCAGATACTCAACATTTATTTTGAACCAATGGATGAATAATTTGACATTTACATACGTTTTTGTTTGAAAAAAGTTGAATACCACTAATCTTTGGACAAGACGATGGGAGCCTGACATAATCCCTGATGGCACCTGATACAATAGTTAACATGTACTGCCTTAGGTGTTTTTTAAGGTATTCTCTTATTCTTTCTCTTTCTAGCAACCTAGGACGCAGATGCCATTATCCCCATTTTACAGAAGAGGAAATTGAGGTAAAGAGAGATTACATAACTTGCCCAAGATCACACACTAGTTAGCATCAGAGCAAGAGTTTGCACCAAAGCAGCTTGGCCCTATAGTCCACATTCTCTCTCTTTTTTTTTTTTTTGGAGATGGAGTTTCGCTCTTGTCGCCCAGGCTGGAGTGCAATGGCTTGATCTTGGCTCACTACAACCTCAGTCTCCCAGGTTCAAGCGATTCTCCTGCCTCAGCCTCCCGAGTAGCTGGGATTACGGGCGTGTGCCACCACATCTGGCTGATTTTGTATTATTAGTAGAGACGGGGTTTTGCCATGTTAGCCAGGCTGGTCTCGAACTCCTCAGGTGATCCACCCACCCTGGCCTCCCAAAGTGCTGGGATTACAGGTGTGAGCCACCATACCTGGCCTAGTCCACATTCTTAAACACTCTGCCATGATACTTGGATCTGGAAGTACTCTAAACATCTAGTATAAAGGGGTTGGACCGTGATCTCTAAGATGCTTCCAGTTCTATGGGTCTGTGAGCTTGAGATTCTACTACTTAGAATATTCATTGATTATTGACTTAATTAGTTAGCTAATTCATTTCTTCAACACATATTTATTAGCTATTCACTACATGCTAGGTTCTGTGCTAGGCACTTCCCATATATTTTCTTTAATCCTGAGAAGTAGGAATTATGATGCTTATCTTACAGATGAGGAATCTGAGGCTTATAGAACTTAAGAATTTATCCAGGGTCCAGTTATTAGCAGGAACAAGATTCGAGTCCCTGTCTCAGGTCTGCTTTTTTCCAAAACTCAAGCTCCTTCCCTGACCCTCGCCTGCTTCTCTTCCAGCTTGCGGGGAGCTTTTGGGGCCCTACGTGCGTGAAGTTCCAATGAACCCACGGAGAGGCCTGTAGGGGCAGGGGACAGGGGGTGCCTCTTCACCTCTGAGGCAGGATTTCAGAGTCTGAGAGCACCAGTTTGGTCCAGAAACCCTGGCTGGGACGTTAGTAAAGGGGCAAGAATTCACAAACCCTCACGAGGTGTCACTTTTTGTCCTGATCCTCTCCTTTCCCTCCAGCCTGCTGTGGCCAGCGTCAACCACTGCGACATATAACATGCCACATCACCAGACAGGCCAGGCTGGGATCCCAGATAATTTGACAGCAGGGGATTTTCACCATCGGACTGCTTTCCAGTCAGGCAGCACTGAGGCTAATTAAAGCTCCCTCTGGGGCATCAGGGAGAAGGGAGGAGACAGGCACGACCAAATCTAAAGACATACTCGTCCGGGAATCAAGCGAGGGAGGCGGAGGTAGAAGCCTGGCTCGGAGGAGCTCACAGCGGGTCCTGCAGGCAGAACGCGGTCACGTGACTGATGTCCCTCCGGCTGGCAGCTAGCAATACCCCGGATTGCAAACTCTCGAGGTCTCCGCCCATTTCATGGCAGGAAATCAGCGTTTTCCAAGAACGCCCAGTGGCGCGGGCACGGGCCTGAGTCCCGCCGCCCACTGCTCTCGAGAGGCCGGAGCAGCAGCTCCGTGGCGCCCCCTGGAGGCCGCCCCTGCTGGCGCCGTCCCCCGGGTGTCAATAGGCCATGGCGCGCCTCCCTCTCGGTTGAGAGCTGTGGGAGCCCAGGACGTGCCTATTAAAGGTATCTTTTGAAGTGAGAGGGACAAGAAAACGCCTTCTCTTTATGTGACTCTCTGTTCCCCAGCAAAGTTGCCAGGGTCCCCAACAATCGTAGTTTCTCCTTCACGGGAGGTTCCCCTGACGTCCTCTAGAGGGCGCGCGCGCACGGCCAGGGCGATTTCGGGGTCCGCAGCCCACGTGCTGCGCGGTCTCTTCTCCAGGCCACCCCGCTTGTCTAGCTATGCGCTGGGGGCAGGGAAAGATCTCCCTGTAAGATCTCCCTTACATGTGGACATCTGAGAGCTGAGATCTCGATGACCCCGGAAGACCCTTACACCCGGAGTGGAGCGGAAGCAGGATGAGAGAATATTGACTGAGCCCTGCCAGCCACTGTTCTAAGCACTTTTTCCCTGTTCCTGCCGATTTGCTCCTCACAACAACCATAGGAAGTGGAGACTATGATTATCCCCGTTGCACAGTAAGGAAACTGAGGCAAAAGGCGGTTAGGTAACTTGGCGATGTCTCCCGGCTAGGGATAGCAGAATGGGATAGAAACGCAGGCCACGCGGTCTGGAGCGGTGGCTCACGCCTTTAATCCCAGTACTTAGGGAGGCCGAGGCGGGCGGGTTACCTGGGGTCAGGAGTTCGAGACCAGCCTGGCCAACATGGTGAAACCCTATCTCTACTAAAAATACAAAAATTAGTCGGGGTGGGCACCTGTAATCCCAGCTACTCGAGGCTGAGGCAAAAGAATCGCTTGAACCCAGGAGGCAGAGGTGGCAGTGAGCCGAGATCACCCCACTGCACTTCAGCCTGGGTGGCAGAACAAGACTCTGTCTCAAAAAAAAAAAAAAGAATAAAAAAAAGAAAGGCAGGCCACCCGGTGGTGGTCCCTGTGCTCCTCCCCACCCACCCCCGCACTGTGCTGGGCGGTGAGGAGGCGGCTGGCCCAGGAGGTGGGGGTGTGGAGTGGGGCACATCAGAGATTTCAAATTGACCAAGGTCTGTTTTGTGTCAGTTTGTCAGTTTTATGTGTCAGCTTGGCTAAACTATGGTCTCCTGTTATTTGATCAAACACTAATCTATTTTTTCTTTTAGTTTAAAAAATAATAATTAAATGAAAAAATCCTGGCTAATGTTTTTTTTTTTGTAGAGACAGGGTTTTGCCTTGTTGCCCAGGCTGGCCTCTGACCCTTGGGCTCAAGTGATCTGCCACCATGCCTAGCCTCAAACACTAATCTAGATGTTGCTTGAAGGCATTTTGTAGATGTGATTTGTCTATAATTAGTTTACTTCAAGTAAGGGAGATTATCCCAGATAATCTGGGTGAGTCTGAAAGACTTTATGGGTAGAACTGAGGTGCCCTTGAAGAGGAAGAAATTCTGCCAGCCAATAGCAATTTCAGCTTGTGCTGAAGAGTTCCAGCCTTCCTAACAACCAGCCCTACAAATTTCGGACTTGCCTAGCCAGCCCTGTGTGTATAAACCAATTCCTTGCAATAATCACACCTACACCCTCACCCCACCCCCCTCCCCAAATACATGTATATATGGAGAGAGAGGGAGAGAGAATATAAAATCATACATATATCATATATCTCCTATTTGTTCTGTGTCTTTAATTTCTCTAGTTGACCCCTGACTGATGCAATGACCCAAGAGCAGGCAGATGCCCGGGGGGCGTTTATGATACCTCTCCTAGGACTTGGCTCAATCTGAGTCCCTCAACGGCCATCTGCAACCCTGAGGAGGGTAGGAAAATCCCAAATTGACTGAGATTACATTTCCATCATCAACAGCAATGGAGAATCAATAAAGAAATTTAGTTCAGATATTGAAAAATGAAGAGGGCTGGGTGCAGTGGCTCACGCCTGTAATCCCAGCACTTTGGGAGGCCGAGGCGGGTGGATCACCTGAGGTCGGGAGTTCGAGACCGGCCTGGCCAACATGGTGAAAACTCATCTTTACTAAAAATACAAAAATTAGTTCTGGTGGGTGCCTGTAATCCCAGCTACTCGGGAGGCTGAGGCAGGAGAATTGTTTGAACCCATTAGGCAGAGGTGGCAGTGAGCCGAGATCACCCCATTGCACTTCAGCCTGGGTGACAGAACAAGACTCCGTCTCAAGGAAAAGAAAAAAAAAAGAAGAAAGTCACAGTTTTTGCACTATCAAGTTTATGTGCTAAGATTCATACCTCATTTTAACAGCCTACATCTACTTCTGCGTGGACCAGAAGGACAGAGCCACAATAACACTGACCAAACCATAGTAATAGCACAATCGTTGCTACAAAACATTTGCAAATAATCAGATAATATATCTGATTAGGGCCTTGTATCCAGAATATATAAAGAGCTCTTATTGCAACAACAAGTAGAAAACAGATCAATTTAAAAATGGGCAAAGGTAGGCCAGGCACAGTGGCTCACACCTATAATCCCAGCACTTAGGGAGGCCGAGGCGGGTGGATCACCTGAGGTCAGGAGTTTGAGACCAGCCTGGCCAACATGGCGAAACTCCGTCTCTACTAAAAGTACAAAATTGAGCCGGACGTGGTGGTGAGAGTCTGTAATCCCAGCTACTTGGGAGGCTGAGGCAGGAGAATCGCTTGAACCCAGGAGATGGAGGTTGCAGTGAGCTGAGATCTCGCCATTGCACTCCAGCCTGGGCGACAAGAGTGAGACTCTGTCTCAAAATAAAAAATAAAATAAAATAGGCAAAGGACTTGAATATCCAAAGAAGATAAACAAATGGCCAATAAGCAAACAATACTTTCAAGCACAAAAGATGCTCGACATAATTAGTCATCAAGGAAAAGGCAAATCAGAACCACACGGGACTCACTTCACATCCACCAGGATGACTATAGTCCTTACAGTAAGAGAATAGCAGATGGCAGGTATTGTGCTTTACTTGTATTAAGTAACTTAATCCTCACAGTAGCCTCGTGAAGGAGGGATGGCTATTAGCTCATTTACAAAAGAGGAACTGAGGCCTGGAAAGGTGAAATGATTGCCCCAGTGTTCCACGGCTGGTCAGTGGGTGTCAGAATTTAAGACCTGGGCTGTCTGCTTCCAAAGCTGTGCTATCCAGCTTTAATGACTGTGCTATACTGGTCTCTAGCAAAATTATTGAAAATTTCCCTCTCAGACCCACCATTTACCTTTATTGCTCCCAGAGACCCTCACATGTGCTCCTTAGCTACCAAAAACAGACTTCTTCTTTCTCCTGGCATTTGTCCCATGTCCTTTGGTCAGTCCAGAACTCACTAGGAGGCTCCCAGACGCTGTGTCCGTGTTTCTCCTCCAGACCGACGATGCTGCCTGTGTCACTGCCTCAGGGCCATGTCACTGCTGCTGCCCCACTGGACTCCCACGGTCCTAGCCACCAGCCACTCCCCTCCTTCTTCCTGGCTAGCAAGGTTTACTGACTACCATAGAGGCGGAAAATGCCAGATGCTCGGTTTCCCAGGTTCCCTTTACAGTTACAGGTGACCATGTGACCGTGTTCTGGTCAATGACATATAAGGAGAGTCTTCTGAGAAAGATTTTCTCTCCTGGCCAGAATAGAGAGAGAGGGTGAGGTAGATGGAAAGAGCGGGAAGCTGGGCGCAGTGGTTCACACCTGTAATCCCAACACTTTGGGAGGCCAAGGCAGGTGGATCACCTGAGGTCAGGAGTTCGAGACCAGCCTGGCCACATGATGAAACCTTGTCTCTACTAAAAATACAAAAATTAGCTGGGTGTGGTGGTGTGGGCCTGTAATCCCAGCTATTTGGGAGGCTGAGGCACGTGAATCACTTGAACCCAGGAGGCGGAGATTGCAGTGTGCTGATCATGCCACTGCACTCCAGCCTGGGCAACAGAGTGAGACTCCGCCTCAAAACACACACACACACACACACACACACACACACACACACACACACACAAAACAGTGGGAGAGAGAGTAAGAGTGAGGGAGGGAGCAAGAAAGCTAGAGTGAGGAAAGTTAACTTTTCTTGTTGTTCTGACTACTCCTTTTCTTCCTGGCTTTGGAGACAATTGTATAAGAATGTAATGGCGGCTGAGCGTGGTGACTCACACCTGTAATCCCAGCACTTTCGGAGGCCGAGGTGGGTGGATCACTAGGTCAGGAGATCGAGACCATCCTGGCTAACATGGTGAAACCCCGTCTCTACTAAAAATACAAAAAAATTTAGCTGGGTGTGGTGGCGGGCGCCTGTAGTCCCAGTTACTCGGGAGGCTGAGGTGGGAAAATGGCGTGAATCCGTGAGGTGGAGGTTGCAGTGAGCCGACATCGTGCCACTGCACTTCAGCCTGGGCGACAGAGCGAGACTCTGTCTCAGAAAAAAAAAAAAAAAAAAAAAAGAATGTAATGGCTTGCCTGGGCATGGTGGCTCACGCCTGTATTTCCAGAACTTTGGGAGGCCAAGGCAGGTGGATCACTTGAAGTCAGGAGTTCACGACCAGCCTGGTCAACATGACAAAACCCTGTTCCTACTAAAAATACAAAAATTAGCTGGGTGTGGTGGCGGGCACTTGTAGTCCTAGCTACTCAGGAGGCTGAGGCAGGAGAATTGCTTGAGCCTGGGAGGCAGAGGTTGCAGTGAGCCAAGGTGACGCCACTGTACTCCAGCCTGGATGACAGAGTGAGACTCTGTCTCAAAAAAATTTAAAAAAGAATGTGATGGCTGGAACTGTGGCAGCCATACTGCAACTATGAGGTGACAAGTCTGAAGATGAAAGGTATCATACTCTGCATGGCAGAATGAAAGGATGGAAGAACATGGGTTCTTCATGATTAGTAGAGCAGCTAAGGCTTAGCAATGGAACTGCCTACTTCCAGCTTTCTTGTTAAATGAGGTAACTATTTTTATTGTTTAGACAGCTTAGCAATTTGACAGTCTGTTATTTGTAGCTGAAGGCATCTTTGTTTTATTATCATTATTTTTTGAGACAGAGTCTCACTCTGTCACCCAGGTTGGAGTGCAGTGGCATGATGGCTCACTACAAGCTCCATCTCCTGGGTTTCAAACAATTCTGGTGCCTCAGCCTCCAACGTAGCGGGAATTACAGGCATGCGCCACCACACCCGGCTGATTTTTGTAATTTTAGTAGAGATGGGGTTTTGCCATGTTGGCCAGGCTGGTCTCAAACTCCTGGCCTCAAGTGATTCATCTGCCTTGGCCTCCCAAAGTGCTGGAATTACAGATGTGAGTCACTATGCCGGCCGTTTAAAGTTTTTTTCTTTTTAGAGACAGGGTCTTGCTCTGTGGCCCAGGCATGAACATAGCTCAATTCAGTCTCAAACTCCTGGGCTCAAGTGATCCTCCTGCCTCAGTCTCCCAAGTAGCTAGGACTACCTATGCACACCACCCAGCTGACTAATTTTTATTTTTTTATTTTTGTACAGATGGGGGTCTTGCTCTGTTGCTCAGGCTGGTCTGAAACTCCTGGCCTGAAGCAATCCTGCCTTTACCTCCCAAAGTGTGGGGATTACAGGCGTGGAGCCACCATGCCCAGTCATGAAAGCATTTTTGCCTGATACCCTGCCACACTGGAGCTGGAAAAAACACCTCCTCCCAAAGAAGTTTAAAACTTTATTGGCCATGAAAAGAGCTGAGGCCCTATAGAAGAGTGGAAAAGTATGAGTTTGTGTTCCAGTCTTACCCTCCACAACTTAATAGCCACCTGCCTTTGAACAAGAGCTTAACTTCTCTGAGCCTCCGTTTACTCATCTGACCACTGCCTGGCACATTGGCCTACATGTATAATAGGGATAATAATTTTTTTTTTTTTTTGAGAAAAAGTCTTGTTCTGTTGCCCAGGCTGGAGTGCAGAAGCATGATCTCGGCTCACTGCAACCTCTGACTCCTGGGTTCAAGCAATTCTCTTGTCTCAGCCTCCCAAGTAGCTGGGATTACAGGCATGTTCCACCATGCTCGTTTGATTTTTGTATTTTTAGTAGAGACACGTTTCACCATGTTAGCCAGGCTGGTCTCGAACTGCTGACCTCAGGGGATCCACCCGCCTCGTCATCCCAAAGTGCTGGGATTACAGGCATGAGCCACCACATCTGGCCTATAAATTTGTTTTTAGAAGGAGGGTTTGGGGGAAATTTTTTAAAATAAAAGCTTCTAGCAAGCCTCCTACACCATCCCAATCAATCTCTGTGCTTTTTTTAAAAAAAAAAAAAAAAAAAAGGAGGCCAGGTGCAGTGGCTCACACCTGTAATCCCAGCATTTTGGGAGGCTGAAGTGGACAGATCACTTGACCCCCGGAGTTTGAGACCAGCCTGGGCAACATGGTGAAACCCTGTCTCTACAACAAAAATACAAAAATTAGCCGGGTGTGGTGGTGCACACCTGTGGTCCCAGCTACTAGGGAGGCTGAGGTGGGTGGATCACCTGAGCCTGGGGAGGTCAAGGCTCCAGTGAGCTGTGATCGCGTCACCGTGCTCCAGCCTGGATGACAGAGTGAGATTCTGTTTAAGAAAAAAAAAAAAAAAAGTGGGGGGGTGGGGAAGAAAAATAAAGAAAACAAGAGGCCAGGCATGGTGGCCCATGCCTGTAATCCCAGCATTTTGGAAGGCCGAGGTGGGCAGATCACGAGGTCAGGAGATTGAGACCATCCTGGCCAACATGGTGAAACCCTGTCTCTACTAAAAATACAAAAAAAGAGCCAGGCATGGTGGCAGGCGCCTGTAGTCCCAGCTACTTAGCATGCTGAGGCAGGAGAATCGCTTGAACCTGGGAGGCAGAGGTTGTAGTGAGCCCAGATCGTGCCACTGCATTCCAGCCTGGGTGAGAGAGCGAGACACCATCTCAAAAAAAAAAAAAAAAAATTAAGAAAATCAGAAGCCCTGCTGTCTGTCTGTACCCAAGCCCTTCCACCAAGAGAGCTAGTCTAGGTGTGAGATCTCACACTGTCTTTGTAGCCATCTAAAAACAATAATAATAACAAACTGGACAGTATACAATAATAAATAGATAAAAAAGGGCAGAGGAGTTGAATATCCAAAGAAGATAAACAGGCCAGGCACAATGGCTCTTGCCTGTAATTCTAGTACTTTGGGAGTCCGAGGCAGGTGGATCACTTGAGGTCAGGTGTTCAAGACCAGCCTGGCCAACATGGTGAGACCCCATCTCTACTAAAAATACAAAAACTAGCTGGGCGTGGTGACATGTACCTGTAGTCCCAGCTACTTGGGAGGCTGAGGCAGGAGAATCATTTGAAACCCAGGAGGTGGAGGTTGCAGTGAGCCAAGATCACGCCATTGCACTCCAGCCTGAGCGACAGAGCAAGACTCTGTCTCAAAAAACAAAGAAACAAACAAAGGAACAAAAAACAACAGAAAAACAAAAACAAAGAAGACAAACAAATGGCCAATAAGCATATGAAAAGATGCTCAATATACTTAGTCATTAAGGAAATGCAAATCAAAACCACAATGAGATATCACTTCCCATCCACTAGGATGGCTATAATCCAAAAACCAGAAAATAACCAGTACTGGTGAGATGTGGAGAAGTTGAAACCCTTGCATATTACTGAATGGAATGATAAATGGGAGTTACTATGGAAAACAGTAACTGCTTTGGGCCTGGTGCAATGGCTCATGTCAGTAATCCTAGCACTTTGGGAGGCCGAGGTAGAAGGATCACTTGAGGCCAGCCTGGGCAACATGATGAAACCCTACCTCTACAAAAAAAAAAGTGTGTGTATATATATAAAAGTATATAATATATAAAAGTATATATATATAAAAGTATATATATATAAAAGTATATATATAAAAGTATATATATATAAGTATATATATAAAAGTATATATATATAAAAGTGTATATATATAAGTATATATATAAAAGTGTATATATATAAGTATATATATAAAAGTGTATATATATAAGTATATATATATAAAAGTGTATATATATAAAAGTATATATATATAAAAGTGTATATATATAAAAGTGTATATATATATATATATATATATATGTGTGTATATATATATTAGCTGGGTGTAGTGGCATGTGCCTTTAGTCCCAGCTACTCAGGAGGCTGAGGTGGGAGAATTACTTGAGCCCAGGAGGTTGAGTCTGCAGTGAGCCATGATCATGTCACTGCATTCTAGCCTGGGCAACAGAGAGAGATCCTGTCTCAAAAAATAAATTAATTAAATTAAACAATAAAGGAATGGGCTGGGTGTGGTGGCTCACACCTGCAATCCCAGCACTTTGGGAGGCGGACGCGGGTGGATCACCTGAGGTCAGGCGTTCAAGACCAGCCTGGCCAACATGGTGAAAACCCGTCTCTACTAAAAATACAACACATTAGCCAGGCGTTGTGGCAGGCGCTTGTAATCCCAGCTACCTGGGAGGCTGAGGCAGGAGAATCACTTGAACCCAGGAGGCGGAGGTTGCAGTGAGCTGAAATCGTGCCATTGCACTCTAGCCTGGACAACAAGAGTGAAACCCCGTCTCAAAAAAAAAAAAAAAGGAATGATGTACTGATACAGGCTACAATGTAGATGAATTCTGAAAACATGTTCAGTGAAAGAACTCAGACACAAAATGTCACTTATTAAATGATTCCCTTTATATGTAATATCCAGAATAGGTAAATCTATATAGAGAGAATGCAGATCAGTGGTTGTTAGGGACTAAGGAGAGGGGGGAACGGGGGAGTGACCGCTCAATGGATATGGGGTCTATTTTGGGGGTGATGAAAACGTTTTGAAACCAGATAGATATTATGCTTGCATAAATAACATTGTGAATGAAAAAATACCACTGAATAGCGCATTTTTTAAAAAATTTTGAGACAAGGTCTCTGGCATGAGGTGGAGAATGCTACGAGTTTTTTGATATCATTTTATGTTAGAGCACAAATTGCACTCTGCCATCCAGCTGGGAGTGCAGTGGCGCAATCTCAGCTCACTGCAACCTCCACTCCCCCGGTTCAAGTGATCCTCCTGCTTCAGCCTCCTCAGTAGCTGGGACTACAGGTGTGTGCCACCACGCCTGGCTAAGTTTTGTATTTTTAGTAGAGATGGGGTCTCACCATGTTGGCCAGGCTGGTTTCGAACTCCTGGCCTCAAACGATCCACCCACCTTGGCCTCCCAAAGTGCTGGGATTACAGACATGAGCCACTGTGCCCCGTCTGAACAGTACATTTTGAAATGGCTAATTTTATGTTTGTGAAATTTGTCTCAATAAAAATAGAAACATACATCATGAGAGGTCATTCATGTACATCCAGTCATATTGCTTTTTTTATCTGATTTAGTGTTGTCTTCATGTCAGTCACCCTCTCCCTAGGAACTTGGTACAAGATCCTGGGCCTGGGGCTAGGGTAGAAGGCAATTTGACAGCATTCCCCAGGGCTGCCTGCAGTTCCCCCCGCCCCTCCGATCCCCCAGCAAGTGAGGAAAACTGCCCCTCCAGGAAAGCTCTTCCACCTGGTACCTGCCGAGGAGAATTACAGCATTCATTAATCAGGGCTCTTTGTGGCAAGGAACAGAAGTACCTACGGGCTGATTAAGCAGAAAAGGATGTTAGCTCACAGAATTTTGTTTCTTTTTTGAAACAGGGTCTCACTCTGTCTTCCAGGCTGGAGTGCAAAGGTGTGAGCAGGGCCAAGCAATTCTCCCACCTCAGCCTCCCGAGAAGCTGGGACTAGAGGCGTGCACCATCATACCTGGCTAGTTTTTTTTTATTTTCAGTAGAGATGGGATCTTGCTGTGTTGCCCAGGCTGGTCTCAACCTCCCGGGCTCAAGTGATCCTCCTGCCTTGGCCTCCCAACGTGCTGAGATTACAAGGGTGAGCCATTGTGCCCAGCTCACAGAATTTTTGAGGGGCTGGAGGACCTGGTTGTAGGCAAAGCTTCCAGGATCAATTCCCCCCAGATAGCCACAGAAACAGCTGTTAAGCAAGATCCCACCACTGCTGCGGGATAAGCAAAATGCTACCACTGCCGCTGCTCCTGTGAGACATTTCTGCACCCAGGATTTCACTCTAAAGCTGAGCATCCTGCCGCCACTCTCACCACACAGAGCCTCCTTCTTGAGTTCACACTTCCTTTTCCTCGTTTTGGTGGGACTTGCCTGCTTGGTGGGACTGGATCACATGTCAGTGCCCGAGCTTCAAGGAAGCCTGGGAAGCCAACATTTCTGGATTTCACCATGGGGAGATGGGGCCCACAGGGCCGGACATTTCTCAAATATAGGAAGGGGTTGAAAATGTGGTGGGTGACATGGTTTGGCTGTGTCCCCACCCAAATCTCATCTTGAATTCTCACGTATTATGAGAGGGACCTGGTGGGAGGTAATTGAATCATGGGGTCAAGTCTTTCCCGTGCTGTTCTCGTGATCTGATCGTGAATAAGTCTCATGAGATCTGACAGTTTTATAAAGAGGAGTTCCCCTGCACAAGCTCTCTCTCTCTTTGCCTGCTGCTATCCACGTAAAATGTGACTTGCTCCTCCTTGCCTTCTGCCATGATTGTGAGGCCTCCCCAGCCCTGTGGAACTGTAAGTCCATCAAACCTCTTTGTTTTTTTTGGTAAATTGCCCAGTCTCGGTTATGTCTTATTTATTTATTTATTTATTTGTTTCTTTGTTTGTTTGTTTATTTTTGAGACACAGTCTCACTCTGTCGCCAGGCTGGAGTGCAGTGGCATGATCTTGGCTCACTTCAACCTCTACCTCCCAGGTTCAAGCAATTCTCCTGCCTCAACTTCCCGAGTAGCTGGGATTACAGGCACGTGCCACCACAGCTGGCTAATTTTTGCATTTTCAGTAGAGACCGGGGTTTCGCCATGTTGGCCAGGCTGGTCTTGAACTCCTGATCTCAAGTGATCCACCCACCTCAGCCTCCCAATCGGGTATGTCTTTATCAGCAGTGTGAAAACAGACTAATACAGTGGGTGTACAGAAAATACATGATAGAGAGACAGCATTTATTATTCCTCACTTGTTGGAAGGACCCTACGCAACCCTAGCTCATTTGACAATGTCCCTCTCATTATATACCTTGGGCCTTTTGCATATAGAGACAGCCCTGGTTTTTGACTGTCCAGAACCTTTATATCTGCCCCTCCCCAAAACAGAGAGGCCTCATACATCTGTCAGTAATAAAGCCAACCCTCTCGTATTTACTGGGTAGATAAGTAACTGAGACTGAAACGCCACTGTATTCCATTTCCCTGACCACAGTGATTGATTCAGAGGGAAGCCTATGACAAAAACAGCGCCAGTCAGAATGTTCCCTGGCATTGATACAATGACTCGGGGGAAAGAGCAACTCTCTTTTGCCCTGGGGTTGTTAAACTGGAAGGAAGAAACTATTTGCAGTGGGAGAAAATTAGGTCAGCCTAGAGTGAAGCAGAGATGAGAGATGGTGAGAAAGCCAGGAAAATATGGTTTCATCTTTTGGATCTAGCTAAGCCTGAAGTCATTACATCTCTCGTTTTTAATCACACGAGCCAATAAATTCCTTTGAAAGCTTCAGTGAGTTGGAGTTGGATTTCTCTCACAACCGAGTAATCGTGATCAACCACCCTCTCCCTAATGGGAAATTTACTATGGGCCACTTTTCTATCCATTGTCTCATTTGACAGTAGATTTGAAAGTTAGGAGGGAGAGGCTAGGCGCGGTGGCTCATGCCTGTAATCCCAGCACTTTGGGAGGCTGAGGCAGGCAGATCATGAGGTCAGGAGTTAGAGACCAGCCTGGCCAACATAGTGAAACCCTGTCTCTACTAAAAGTACAAAAAATTAGCTGGGCGTGGTGGCGGGCACCTGTAATCCCAGCTACTCAGGAGGCTGAGGCAGGAAAATTGCTTGAACCCAGGATGTGGAGATTGCAGTGAGCCGAGATCGCACCATTGCACTCCAGCTTGGGCGATAGGAGTGAGACTCCATCTCAAAAAAAAAAAAAAAAGAAAAAAGAAGTTAGGAGGGAGCATTAACAATAAAAGAACTATGACTGGACACAGTGGCTCATGCCTGTAATCCCAGCACTTTGGGAGGCCAAGGTGGGTGGATCACTTGAGGTCAGGAGTTTGAGACCAGCCTGGCCAACATTGTGAAACCTTGTCTCTACTAAAAATACAAAAATTATCCGGGTGTGGTGGTGCGTTCCTGTAATTCCAGCTACTTGGGAGGCTGAGGCACGAGAATCACTGCCAGGAGGTGGAGGTTGCAGTAAGCCAAGATCCAGCCAATGCACTTCAGCCTGGGCGACAGAGCAAGACTCTGTCTCAAAAAAACAAAACAAAACAAAACAAAAATGAGCATTATTATCCTTACAGATAATAATTTGAGCTAAGAGAGATTAATTGACTAGCCCAAGGGCATACAGCTAGTTGTGGTCTGGCTTGAATTTGAACACAGTTCTGCCTACCTTCAAATTTAGCACTCGTCCTAAAATTCTATAGTCAATTCTTATTTTCAGAAGTAATTTTTCTCCTCATAATTTTCCCTAATTCTTTGGTCCTCCAAGGCCTTTCAAGCCAGTTCCCAGCTCCTGATAATAGTGAATACCTGAAACAGCTAGCTTATTATTCTCCCGTGGGTGTTTTAATTTTCAAAATGTGGAAAGACCAAGGCATGAAGCTTTGAAGGAGAAATTTCATCCACTGGCTGTGGACATGAGGAACTTGGAGTTCCTGGGATCTCAACCCCAGTACCTACACTTATGGGAAACCATCACCCTCTCGGGAAGGCTTCCCTTGTCTAGAAACTTTTTTTGAGGAAATCCAAGAATGTCTTAATAGTAGAGGATGCAGTATGAACACGCCTTTGGAACTCTATCTGACTCACAGGATCCCACAATTTTAGTACAGCCTCTTCCAAGCTGAACCTCTCACCAAACCAGGTTAGGAATTGCGGGTTAGTTATTTGGAAGGAAAGGTGGTAGAGAAGGACCAGGGGAATTAATATTCATTGAACATATGACAGCGATGGCAAATAGAGTTTCTCTGCATCATGCATTGATAAGCACACAGAGTTAGCATCCATGCTCAATTGGTAATGTCTGCCCTTGGTGCAGGACAGCATCCAAGCTCACCTGGTAATGTCTGCCCTGGGTGCAGGAGGGGGCCTGGCAGGATGGTTGCCAGCTCTCCATCTTCTCTGGCTATGAGCCAGGCACTTTACACCATTAACCCCAAGTTCTCACAATAACCTCTGAGGTGGGAGTTTCTTTTCTTATTTTCTGGAGGAGGAAACTGAGGTTTAAAGAGGATGTTACTTGCCCCTTGTAAAAGGTACTAGGTGGACAAGTCTTTAATTTAAAAATAAATAAATAAGCAACATATCACTGCCACAAAAGCAGCAATATTGCTACAATTTACTGAGGGCTTTCTACATGCAAGACACTATTTTTTTGTTGTTTTGTTTTTTTTTTGAGATGGAGTCTCACTCTGTCACCAGGCTGGAGTGCAGTGGCGCGATCTTGGCTCACCGCTTCCCAGATTCAAGGGATTCTCCTGCCTCAGCCTCCCGAGTAGCTGGGACTACAGGCGTGTGCCACCATGCCCAACTAATTTTTGTATTTTTAGTAGAGACGGGGTTTCACCATGTTAGCTAGGATGGTCTCGATCTCTTGACCTCGTGATCCGCCCGCCTCGGCCTCCCAAAGTGCTGGGATTACAGTCATGAGCCACCGCGCCCAGCCTTTTTTAAAAAAATTTTATTTTACTTTAAGTTCTGGGATACATGTGCAGAACCTGCAGGTTTGTTACAGAGGTAAACACATGTGTCATGGTGGTTTGCTGCACCTGTCAACCCGTCACCTAGGCATTAAGCCCCACACACATTTGCTATTTTTCCTGATGCTCTCCCTTCCCTCACCCCACCGACAGGCCCTGGTGTGTATTGTTCCCTGCCCTGTGTCCATGTGTTTTTATTGCTCTGCTCCCACTTATGAGTGAGAACATGCGGTGTTTGGTTTTCTGTTCCTGTGTTAGTTTGCTGAGGATGATGGCTTCCAGCTTCATCCATGTCCCTGCAAAGGACATGATCTCATTCCTTTTTATGGCTTCATAGTATTCCATGTTGTATACGTAGCACATTTTCTTTACCCAGTCTACCACTGATGGGCATTTAGGTTGATTTCATGTCTTTGCTATTGTGAATAGTGCTGCAATAAACATATGTGTGCATATATCTTTATAACAGAATGATTTATATCCCTTTAGGTATATACCCAGTAATGAGATTGCTGGGTCAGGTGGAATTTCTGGTTCTAGATCCTTGAGGAATCACCACACTGTCTTCCACAATAGTTGAGAAATAATGTACATTCCCACCAACAGTGTAAAAGCATTTCTATTTCTCCACAGCCTTGCCAGCATCTGTTGTTTCTTGACTTTCTAATAATCACCATTCTCATTGGTGTGAGATGGTGTCTCACTGTGGTTTTGATTTGCATTTCTCTAATGATCAGTGATATTCAGCTTTTCTTCTTTTCTTTCTTTCTGTTTTTTTTTTTTTTTTAAATGGAGTCTTGCTCTTGTTACCCAGGCTGGAGTGCAATGGGGAGATTTCGGCTCACTGCAACCTCTGCCTCCTGGGTTCAAGTGATTCTCCTGCCTCAGTCTCCCGAATAGTTGGGATTACGGGTGCCTGCCACCATGCCCAAGCTAATTTTTTGTAGTTTTAGTAGAGACAGTGTTTCACCATGTTGACCAGGCTGGTCTCAAACTCCTGACCTCAGGTGATCCACCCGCCTCAGCCTCCCAAACTGCTGGGATTACAGGCATGAGCCACCGTGCCTGGCCCCACTTTTTTTCATGTTTCTTGGCCGCATAAATAAGACCCTGTATTAAGCCTGTTGTATGTATTATCTCCATTCATTTCCCAGAAGCTTGGTGAAGTAATTTACCATTTTACAGACCACGCGGAAACAGAAGAGCCAAGTGTCGTGTTCAATGTCACTGGTGCATCAGAAGCAGAGCTGGGGTGAAAGCCAGATGCAGCCAGCTCTAGGGCCTGGACTTCTGTTCCTTCCCACTGGTTTGTTTTCATCCTGAGTCATTGCTTGGTAGGGGAGGATTCTGAGAAAGCAATGAGGTAAACTATGGCAATACTGACTTACGCACTTCACATAAATCCCTTTGTGAGGAACATGTCATGGGGCTCCACACATTGGGCTATGAAGAGCGGGGTTGGCCTGTCCCTTTGTGGCAGCGGCCCCTCTTAGGCCTCTTCAGCACTCTGTCCCTGGGGGCCAGCCCATCCAGCCCTGGCCTTTCCTTCTCCTCTGGGTGAGTCAGAACTCTTTTTATTTTATTTTATTTTTTTTTTTTGAGATGGAGTCTTGCTCTGTCACCCAGGCTGGAATGCAGTGGCACCATCTCAGCTCACTGCAACCTCCATCTCCTGGGTTCAAGCAATTCTTCTGCCTCAGCCTCCCAAATAGCCGGGATTACAGGCACGTGCCACCATGCCCAGATAATTTTTTGTATTTTTAGTAGAGAAGGGGTTTCACCATGTTGGCCAGGTGGGTCTTGAACTCCTGACCTCAAGTGATCCGCCCACCTTGGCCTCCCAAAGTGCTGGGATTACAGGTGTGAGCCACTGCACCCAGCCTGAGTCAGAACTTTGTACATGAGAAGGAAGTCTTGGGAGAAATCCACAGTTGTTTTGTATCCAGAACGTGAGGCAGCTTGGTGCTGTGATGAGAGTGTTCCTTGCCACTGCTCCTGGTTGAGCCACCTTGAGCCAATGTAGGTTTCTTCATCTGAAAAGTGAGAGGGATGGCCTAAGTGACTTCTAAGTGACTGAGCTGCTCTAAATGTGTGTGAGATGCCCGTGTCTGTGGTCAGTCTCTGTAGTCTTTCTCAGACCTTGCTTCATTCTCATCCTCTTTCTCTCAGCTAATCAGTTGTTCCAGTATCTTACTATAAAAATTTTCTTTTTTTTTTGAGAGAGTCTTGGTCTGTTGCTCAGGCTGGAGTGCAATGGTGCGATCTTGGCTCACAACAACATCCGCCTCCCAGGTCCAAGCGATTTGCCTGTCTCAGCCTCCCGAGTAGCTGGGATTACAGGCACCCACCACCATGCCTGGCTAATTTTTGTGTTTTTAGTAGAGATGGGGTTTTGCCATGTTGGTCAGGCCGGTCTCGAACTCTTGACCTCAGGTGATCTGCCCACATCGGCCTCCCAAAGTGCTGGGATTACAGGTGTGAGCCACCATGCCCATCCTAAAAATTTTCTTTTCTTTTCTTTTTTTTGAGATGGAGTTTCGCTCCTGTCGCCCAGGCTGGAGTGCAATGGCACGGTCTCGGCTCACTGTAGCCTCTGCCTCCTGGGTTCAAGTGATTCTCCTGCCTCAGCCTGCCGAGTAGCTGGGATTACAGGCATGCGCCACCACACCTAGCTAATTTTGTATTTTTAGTAGAGACGGGGTTTCTCCATGTTGGTCAGGCTGGCCTCAAACTCCCGACCTCAGGTGATCCGCCTGCCTTGGCCTCCCAAAGTGCTGGGATTACAGGCATGAGCCACCGAGACTGGCCAAAAATTTTCAAACAAGCAGCAAAGTTGAATGAATGTCCCAGGAAGCACGCACATGCCCCCCCGTCCAGCTAGATTCCATCTGGCTTTCTCTCAGCTTGTTGCCCTGGTAGTCACTAAGGCAGAAAGGCCCCAAACATATTTCCCCTTGAGGACAGTCAGGGTGGAATTCAGTCAGAACGCACCTTCTCCCTCCCACAGCTCACATCCCTCATGCATGCCCCATGCCCTAATGCCTTTCTTTCTTTCTTTTTGTTTTTTAAACAGAGTCTCGCTCTGTCGCCCAGGCTGGAGTGCAGTGGCGTGATCTCAGCTCACTGCAACCTCCACCTCCCGGGTTCAAGTGATTCTCCTGCCTCAGTCTCCCGAATAGCTGGGATTACAGGTGCGTGCCACCACACCCAGCTAATTTTTTGTATTTTCAGTAAAGACAGGGTTTCACCATGTTGGCCAAGTTGGTTTTGAATTCCTGACCTCAGGTGATCCACCCGCCTTGGCCTTCCAAAGTGCTGTGATTACAGGCGTGAGCCGCTGCACCTGGCCGCCCTGATGTCTTTCTCTCTGTCTGTAGCCATCTCTCCAGCCATACGCATGCCCATCCCCTGCTGCGATGACCCTGGGCCAGACCTGCGATGCCCTGATCACAAGATATCAGGGGAAGGTGGCTTGTTGGAGTTGGGTGGTCCAGGGCACTCAAGTATCTCAAGAGGCCACTCTGTAGCAGGCACCATTATTTGTGTAACATTTTTTCTCTCGGAGACACGCAAGTCATACCTGGTTGTTGTAGAAACTTTGAAAATTGTAGAAAAACCTAATGAACAATTGGAAATCATCCATGAGCACTGCCAAGACAGCAGTAGCTAGGATTTATTGAGTACTTACTATACATTGGATATTGTGCTTGTTACATGATTTCCCCAGCAACCACACTCAGTAGGTAGATAATTATCATTATAATCTCCAATTTGGGCCGGACTCGGTAGCTCACGCCTGTAATCCCAACACTTTGGGAGGCCGAGGTGGGTGGATCACCTGAGGTCGGCAGTTCGAGACCAGCCTGACCAACATGGAGAAACCCCGTCTCTACTAAACACACAAAATTTGCCGGGCATGGTGGCGCATGCCTGTCATCCCAGCTACTCGGGAGGCTGAGGTAGGAGAATCGCTTGAACCCGGGAGGCAGAGGTTGCGGTGAACAGAGATCGCACCATTGCACTCCAGCCTGGGCAACAAGAGCGAAACTCCATCTCAAAAAATAAATAAATAAATAAAATAATCTCCAATTTGCAGTTGAGGAAATGAAGGCCTGGAGAAGTTAGGTGATTTCTCACGTCCACACAGCTGGGAAGGGGTGGAGCCAGGCTTCACACCCACCTGGTTCTAGCGGATGCCTTTAGTCACCATTCACCACTTCCCTGATGCCTGTCACACATGTTTTAGATATTTTCTGTGCAGTAACTTTTTTTTTTAGCTGGAGTTTCGCTCTTGTTGCCCCCAGGCTGGAGTGCAGTGGTGCAATCTTGGCTCACTGCAACCTCCGCTCACTTCAACCTCCGCTCACTTCAAGTGATTTTCCTGCCTCAGCCTCCCAAGTAGCTGAGATTACAAGCATGAGCCAGCTCGCTTGGCTAATTTTTGTATTTTTAGTAGAGATGGGGTTTCACCATGTTGGTGAGGCTGGTCTCGAACTCCTGACCTCAAGTGATCCTCTTGGCTTGGCCTCCCAAAGTGCTGGGATTACAGGCGTGAGCCACCACACCCTGCCAGCAATTATGTTATTTTATAACAACCTACTTCTTTCACTTACCCATTTCTGGGACCAGGTGGGGTGGTTCATGCCTACAATCCCAGCACTTTGGGAGGCCAAGGCGGGTGGATCGCTGGAGCCCAGGAGTTCAAGACCAGTCCGGGCAACATGGCGAGACCTTAATCAATCAATCAATCAATAGCAGGGCATGGTGGTGTGTACCTGTAGTCTACCTATAGTCTACCCAGGAGGCTGAGGTGGGAGGATGGCTTGAGCCTGGGGAGGTGGAGGCAATATTTAACCATTTCTATTTGCATGTTAATCTCCCCAAATAACCCTATGAAATAGTTATTATTATTTACATTTACAGGTGAGAAAACTGAAGGCTACAGAATTAAAAGACACGAAAACAAAGCTCAAAGAGTGAAATGACTTGCCCAAGGGCATGGGAAGCAGTGAGGGTGGGTTCAAAGGTCAGAAAAAGCTGACGCCCCACCCCCTCCACCCCTGCCTTTCATTCTCGAGGTGGAGGCCATCGTGTGCATAGGGTAGAGGAAGGCAATAACAAATAATTTTCTTCAGCCTTCCCTAAATTAGATCCCGTGTAGCTGGCAACTGAGGCCTGGCCTGCTTGCTTTCTCCTCCTCTCTGGAAGCCAGGGCTACTTTGTATAGGGTCTGCATGAAGCTGTCCCCTTCCAGCAGGGACACCTGCCTGTCTTGAGATGGGGAGTGGTCACTTCCCAGCAGAGACCCTGTGCTCAGCCCGTGGAGGATAAGAGGGTGCAGGGAAGGAATTCCAGAGC
Organism: Homo sapiens; assembly: GCF_000001405.40. Taxonomy (NCBI): domain Eukaryota; kingdom Metazoa; phylum Chordata; class Mammalia; order Primates; family Hominidae; genus Homo; species Homo sapiens. The sequence continues at coordinate 36,085,234 of NC_000022.11, forward strand.
TCTCCAGGCCTGGGGAAGCGCACGGCTGGACACCCCTGCTTGCCCATGACCTTGTACAAATCCTTCCTTTCTCTGAGTTTCAATTTTCTTTCTTTTCTTTTCTTTTCTTTTTTTTTTTTTTGAGATGGAGTCTCGCTCTGTCGCCAGGCTGGAGCGCAGTGGCGATCTTGGCTCACTGCAACCTCCGACTCCCAGGTTCAAGCGATTCTCATGCCTCAGCCTCCTGAGTAGCTGGGATTACAGGCACGTGCCACCACGTACAGCTAATTTTTGTATTTTTAGTAGAAACAGGGTTTCACCGTGTTGGCCAGGATGGTCTCAATCTCCTGACTTCATGATCCGCCTGCCTTGGCCTCCCAAAGTGCTGGGATTACAGGCGTGAGCTATGGCGCCCGGCCAGAGTTTCAGTTTTCTGAACTGACTCCACGGCTGTTCTGCGGTTGGCCCCAGTCCCTGCTGCTCCCCAGAACTCCTCTGTTTCCCCAACAGGGTTGGGTGTGTGGTACCAAGCAAAGGGCACCGTGCCCGTGGAGCCAGGATGTACAGCAGCCCCAGCAACATCTCCAGGTCTAGGGCAAACAGTGTGTGTCTGAGAAGAGGGAAGACATCAACTGGTGAGAGTCCCAGTGACCATGACCTCTTTCCCTTCTCTTACCAGTCTCCAAAACACAACAAAGGAAGGGTGCATGAATTTGTAGCTAACATTTAGTGGACAGGTGGCAGGCGCAGCCCGAGGTAATTTCCATCTATTTACTCATTTAACCCTATCAATAACCTTATGAGGCAGGTACTATTGTGCCCACTTGACAGGTGAGGAAACTGAGGCTCAGGGAGGTGAAGTCACACAGCTAGGGGGTAGCGGTGCTGGCATCCAAACCCAAGCGTGTGGCCACAGGGCTCAAATGCTTAACCACTGACCCATACTGCCTCTCAGATCCCAGGGTGATGGTGCAGGCCGCCTCACCTTACGGAATCTGAGTCTGAGGCCCAGGGAGGGAGGGCAACTCACAGCCACACGGGGAATGAGAATGGAGCCTGGTCTTCAGGCCCTGGAGCTTCTGGGTCAGATACCAGCCAACCTTATTACCCCTCCCCAGGGAATGTGACCACGCCTCCCCAGGGAATGTGACCACGCCCATTGGCTTTCTTCTTCCCCTTGACTCAGGAAGTGAGGGGAAGGGAGGTGCCCATGTTCTGTGGGAATGTTTTTGTTTGTTTGTTTGTTTGTTTTTGTTTTTGTTTTTGAGACGGAGTCTTGCTCTGTCACCCAGGCTGGAGTGCAGTGGCGCGATCTCGGCTCACTGCAACCTCCGCCTCCCAGGTTCAAGCAATTCTCCTGCCTCAGCCTCCTGAGTAGCTGGAATTACAGGTGCCCGCCACCACGCCCAGCTAATTTTTTGTATTTTTAGAAGAGACGGGGTTTCACCATGTTGAGCAGGCTGGTCTCAAACTCCTGACCTCATGATCTGCCCGCCTTGTCCTCTCAAAGTGCTGGGATTACAGATGTGAGCCACCGTGCCCGGCCGGGAATCATTTAAGGTTGAACCCGGAGACCTTCCGCTAGCATCAGACATGTGTACAGTATCTCCCTAGCCTGTGGCGGCAAGCAAACATCCCTCCCTCTTCCAGCTGTCTGTATGCTGTATCTGCCATGTAACAGGCAAGAGGCAGGTTGTTCTTGGGGGATCCCAAGTCTTGGTGAAGGGCGGGTGTTCTAATACATTAGATAACCCAATCATGCAGATTCCCTTGGTAACCAATGTACACACAGGAATGAGTAAGAATTATCTATCACAGCAAGGCAGGGTGGCTCACACCTGTAATCCCAGCAATCTGGGAGGCCGAGGCGGGTGGATCACCTGAGATCAGGATTTCAAGATCAGCCTGGCCAACATGATGCAACCCCGTCACTACTAAAAAAATACAAAAAATTAGCTGGGCATAGTGGCAAGCGCTGTAATCCCAGCTACTTGGGAGGCTGAGGTAGGAGAATCACTTGAACCCAGGAGGCAGAAGTTGCAGTGAGCCGAGATCGTGCCATTGCACTCCAGCCTGGGCAACAAGAGTGAAACTCCGTCTCAGAAAAAAAAATAATAATAATTATCTATCACAGCCATGGCTGGGAACCACAGTGTTGAACTGGCTTCTGTGGTTTAACAAAATTATAAGATCTTTGACATTTTAAAATATGATTTTGAGGCCGGGCACGGTGGCTCACGTCTGTAATCCTAACACTTTGGGAGATGGAGGTGGGCAGATCACCTGAGGTCAGGAGTTTGAGACCAGCTTGGCCAACATGTTGAAACCCTGTCTCTACTAAAAAGGAAAAAATTAGCTGGGCATGGTGGTGGGTGCCTGTAATCCCAGCTACTTGGGAGGCTGAGGCAAGAGAATCGCTTGAACCTCAGAGGCTGAGGTTGCAGTGAGCAGAGATCACGTCATTGCACTCCAGCCTGGCCATTGCATTCCAGCCTGGGCAACAAGAGTGAAACTCTGTCTCAAAAAAAAAAAAGATAATTAACTAAATTATAGGATCCTTTAGTAGTAGTAGTAATAATTGGTAAAATAACATTATTTGCTATATAGTGCCATAAAGAACTACGTGCCAGGCACTGTTCTAAGGGTTCCTAAGTCATTATAATCCTTACAGTGACTCTACAAGGAAGGCATTCATTATTTTCATTTCACAGAGGAAATGGAAGAACAGAGAGGTGAAGTAACTTGCCGAAAATCACACAGCTGGGATGTGACAGAGCCTGTAAACCAACCGGAGTAGTCTGGCTCCAAAGTCAGGGCTCTTCACTACCAGGTGATCCTGTCTCCTCTTACATCATCCAGTTTCACTCTGTCACCCAGGCTGGAGTGCAGCGACATGATCTCGGCTCACTGCAACCTCTGCTTTTGGGTTCAAGCAATTCTCCCACCTTAGCCTCCCAAGTAGCTGGGACTACAGGCATGTGCCACCACACCCAGCTAATTTTTGTACTTTTAGTAGAGATGGGTTTTCACCATGTCGGCCAGGCTGGTCTGGAAATCCTGACCTCAAGTGATCCGCCCACCTCAGCCTCCCAAAGTTCTGGGATTACAGGCTTGAGCCACTGTGTCCAGCCTCATCCTTTATTATTCGGTCTTGCCTGACATTTACGTGCACTTTCCTAAATTCTATCTAATTTGATTATCAACATTTGGGAGGTAGACATGCTGAGAACAATGAATTAGTTTCCTCTTGTTGCGTCACTTTCAGTGTTATTTTGTGAGCTGCTCAGTCAGGTGTGGCCACAAGAGAGGCTCAGGAAGAGTTTATTATACTCACAAGCCTGGACATGGGAGGCATGGCACGCTGGCCAGGGCCACCTGAGGAGGCACCACTGTAGGCCCGGCCACAGGAGCAGGAGTGAGGAGAGAGCTTAGGACACAGCCTTGATTGGCTTTTCCGAGGAAAGGGGTGGACAAGGTAACAGTTTAGAATTGGCTGATTTAAATAATTTTTCTTTTTTTTTTTTTTGAGACAAAGTCTTTGTCACTCAGGTTGGAGTGCAGTGGCATAATCACTGCTCACTGTAGCCTCAACATCCTGGGCTCAAGCGGTCCTCCCACCTCAGCCTCCCAAGTAGCTGGGACTACAGGCACACACCACCAGCTAATTTATTTATTTATTTATTTATTTATTTATTTATTTATTTATTTTTCTTTTGTAGAGATGGGGTTTCGCCAATTTGCCCAGGCTGGCCTCAAACGCCTGAGCTCAAGCAATCCACCCACCTTGGCCTCTCAAAGTGCTAGGATTACAGGCGTGAGCCACCACGCCTGGCCTTTTTTTTTCTTTTTCTTTTTTTAAGTAGAGATGGGGTTCTCACTATGTTGCCCAGGCTGGTCTCGAATTCCTAGGCCCAAACGATCCACCCACCTTGGCCTCCCAAAGTGCTGGGATTACAGGTGTGAGCCACTGCACCCAACCTCATTTGAATACTCTTGATTCCTGGTACCTGTCTCTGGAAAGATTACAGCAGAGGACTATTGCCTCCCGGGTGTAAGGCCAGATAGGGAGGGTGTGGCTGTGGGTTGATTTGCACACCAAAGGCCTTCTCGAAGGCTGAGCTCTTTTCCTTCCTTCTTTCTTTCTCTTTCTTTCTTTCTTTTTATTATACTTTCAGTTCTGGGGTACATGTGCAGAACGTGCAGTTTTGTTACATAGGTATACACATGCCATGGTGGTTTGCTGCACCCATCAACCCGTCATCTACATTAGATATTTCTCCTTATGCTATCCCTCCCCTAGCCTCCAACCCCGGCTGAGCTCTTTTGTATCTGTTAAGAATTGGCTAACCCCATTTTCACGATATTGATTCTTCCTACCCATGAGCATGAAATGTTCTTCCATTTGTTTGTATCCTCTTTTATTTCCTTGAGCAGTGGTTTGTAGTTCTCCTTGAAGAGGTCCTTCACATCCCTTGTAAGTTGGATTCCCAGGTATTTTATTCTCTTTGAAGCAATTGTGAATGAGAGTTCACTCATGATTTGGCTCTCTGTTTGTCTGTTGTTGGTGTATAAGAATGCTTGTGATTTTTGTACATTGATTTTGTATCCTGAGACTTTGCTGAAGTTGCTTATCAGCTTAAGGAGATTTTGGGCTGAGACAATGGGGTTTTCTAGATATACAATCATGTCATCTGCAAACAGGGACAATTTGACTTCCTCTCTTCCTAATTGAATACCCTTTATTTCCTTCTCCTGCCTAATTGCCCTAGCCAGAACTTCCAACACTATGTTGAATAGGAGTGGTAAGAGAGGGCATCCCTGTCTTGTGCCAGTTTTCAAAGGGAATGCTTCCAGTTTTTGCCCATTCAGTATGATATTGGCTGTGGGTTTGTCATAGATAGCTCTTATTATTTTGAAATACGTCCCATCAATACCTAATTTATTGAGAGTCTTTAGCATGAAGGGTTGTTGAATTTTGTCAAAGGCCTTTTCTGCATCTATTGAGATAATCATGTGGTTTTTGTCTTTGGTTCTGTTTATATGCTGGATTACATTTATTGATTTGCGTATATTGAACCAGCCTTGCGTCCCAGGGATGAAGCCCACTTGATCATGGTGGATAAGCTTTTTGATGTGCTGCTGGAACAGGCAACCTACAAAATGGGAGAAAATTTTCACAACCTACTCATCTGACAAAGGGCTAATATCCAGAATCTACAATGAACTCAAACAAATTTACAAGAAAAAAACAAACAACCCCATCAAAAAGTGGGCGAAGGACATGAACAGACACTTCTCAAAAGAAGACATTTATGCAGCCAAAAAACACATGAAAAAATGCTCACCATCACTGGCCATCAGAGAAATGCAAATCAAAACCACAATGAGATACCATCTCACACCAGTTAGAATGGCAACCATTAAAAAGTAAGGAAACAACAGGTGCTGGAGAGGATGTGGAGAAATAGGAACACTTTTACACTGTTGGTGGGACTGTAAACTAGTTCAACCATTGTGGAAGTCAGTGTGGCGATTCCTCAGGGATCTAGAACTAGAAATACCATTTGACCCAGCCATCCCATTACTGGGTATATACCCAAAGGACTATAAATCATGCTGCTATAAAGACACATGCACACGTATGTTTATTGCGGCATTATTCACAATAGCAAAGACTTGGAACCAACCCAAATGTCCAACAATGATAGACTGGATTAAGAAAATGTGGGACATACACACCATGGAATACTATGCAGCCATAAAAAATGACGAGTTCATGTCCTTTGTAGGGACATGGATAAAATTGGAAATCATCATTCTCAGTAAACTATTGCAAGAACAAAAAACCAAACACCACATATTCTCACTCATAGGTGGGAATTGAACAATGAGAACACATGGACACAGGAAGGGGAACATCACACTCTGGGGACTATTGTGGGGTGGGGGGAGGGGGGAGGGATAGCACTGGGAGATAAACCTAATGCTAGATGACGAGTTAGTGGGTGCAGCGCACCAGCATGGCACATGTATACATATGTAACTAACCTGCACATTGTGCACATGTACCCTAAAACTTAAAGTATGATAATAATAAATTTTAAAAAAATTTATTTTGAAAAAAAAAAAAAAAAAAAAAAAGAATTGGCTAACCCCAGGAGAGGCAGTCACTCCCCAGCCAGGAAGGTTTCTGGATGCCAAAACATCATAAGACACAGAAAATAAAAAATATAGGGCTGGGCGCAGTGGCTCATGCCTATAATCCCAGCACTTTGGGAGGGCGAGGCGGGCAGATCACCTGAGGTCAGGAGTTGGAGACCAGCCTGGCTAACATGGTGAAACCCCGTCTCTACTAAAAATACAAAAATTATCCGGGCGTGGTGGCGGGCGCCTGTAGTCCCAGCTACTTAGGAGGCTGAGGCAGGAGAAACTCTTAAACCCAGGAGGCAGAGGTTGCAGTGAACTGAGATCACGCCACTGCACTTAAGCCTGGGCAACAGAGTGAGACTGTCTCAAAAAAAAAAAAAAGAAAGAAAAGAAAAAATATAAACTATACACATCACAAATTGCCCCCAAAACAACCAACAACAAACGTTGATCATCTCACAGTTTCTGTGGGACAGGAACCTGGGTGCAGATTGCAGGGTCCTCCAGCCCAGGGTGTCTCCCAGGGCAGCAATCATGAGGTTGCCTGGGACCACAGCCCCCTCAAAATCCATCTGAGCAGGATTCACTGTCAGGCTCACTCGAGTGGCAGGACTGAGTTGTTCCAGGGCTTTTGGCCTAAGGGCTTCGGTTCCCTGCCATCTGAGCCTTTCCACAAAGCAGCTCACACTATACAGCTGGCTTTCTCAAAGGGAGCGAGTGGGAGCAAGGGAGACGGCACCAGCAAGACAGAGTCACAGTCTCTTTTTATTTTAATTAATTTTTTTAATTTTTTTTTTTTTAGACAGTCTCCCTCTGTTGCCCAGGCTGGAGTGCAGTGGCACGATCTTGGCCCACTGTAACCTCTGCCTCCCAGGTTCAAGTGATTCTCCTGCCTCAGCCTCCCGAGTAGCTGGGATTACAGGCACCCGCCACAACGCCGGGATAATTTTTCTATTTTTAGTAGAGACGGGGTTTCACCATGTTGGCCAGACTGGTCTCCAACTCCTGACCTCAGGCGATCGCCTGCTTCGGCCTCCCAAAGTGCTGGGATTACAGGCGTGAGCCACCACGACCAGCCTATTAATTTTTTTTTTAATAGTGGCCAAATATATATAACACAAAATTTATTGTTTTAACCATTTTAAAGTGTACCATGAAAATGTACACCATTGTACATACACATTCACAGTGGCGGCACTGGGCATATTCAGAATGTTGCACAATCATAATTTCTATGCATTTCCAGAACTTCATCATGATCCCAAAAAGAAACTCTGTACCCATTAAACAATACCTCCCCATTCCCCCTTCTCCTCAGTCCCTGCTGGCCACTATTCTACTTTCTGTCTCCATGAATTTGACTACTCCAAGTATCTCATATGAGTGGAACCCTTCAATATTTGTCTCTTTGACTGGCTTATTTAGCTTCACATAAGGTCCTCAGGGTTTGTCCATATTGTAGCATATGTAAGAATTTACTTCTTTTTTTTTTTTTTTTTTTTATTTGACAGGGTGTTGCTCTGTCTGTCACCCAGACTGAAGTGCGGCAGTGCGATCTCTGCTCATTGCAGCCTGGACCTCCTGGGCTCCAGTCATCCTCCCACCTCAGCCTCCTGAGTAGCTGGGACTAGTCATCCTCCCACCTCAGCCTCCAGAGTAGCCAGGACTACAGGCATGTGCCACCTCGCCCAGCTAATTTTTGTAGAGAGGGGGTTTCACTGTGTTGGCTAGGCTGGTCTCCAACTCGTGACCTCAAGCGATCCATCCACGTCAGCCTTTCTTTCTTTTTTTTTTTTTTGAGACAGAGTCTTGCTCTGTCACCCAGGCTGGAGTGCAGTGAGTGGCGCAGTCTCGGCTCACTGCAAGCTCCACCTCCCGGGTTCACGCCATTCTCCTGCCTCAGCCTCTCCGAGTAGCTGGGACTACAGGCGCCCGCCACCACGCTCGGCTAATTTTTTTGTATTTTTAGTAGAGACGGGGTTTCACCATGGTTTCGATCTCCTGACCTCGTGATCCGCCCGCCTCGGCCTCCCAAAGTGCTGGGATTACAAGCATGAGCCACCGCGCCCGGCCTCACGTCAGCCTTTCAAAGTGCTGGGATTACAGGCCTGAGCCACTGTGCCCAGCCAGAATTTACTTCCTTTTTCTTTTTTTTTGAGACAGAGTTTTGCTCTTTCACCCAGGCTGGAGTGAATTGCCGTGATCTCGGCTAACTGCAACCTCTGCCTCCCAGGTTCAAGTGATTCGCCTGCCTCAGCCTCCTGAGTAGCTGGGATTACAGGCATGCACCACCACGCCCAGCTAATTTTTGTATTTTTTGCAGAGAGAGGGTTTCACCATGTTGGCCAGGCTGGTCTTGAACTCCTGACCTCAGGTAATCCACCAGCCTCGGCCTCCCAAAGTGCTGGGATTACAGGCATGAGCCACCGTGCCCTGCCAATTTACTTCCTTTTTAAGTCTAAACGATATTCCATTGTATGGATAGACCACATGTTTTTTAATCTATTCATCTGCGAGTGGACATTTGGCTTGTTTCCACCTTCTGGCTATTGTGAACAATGCTGCTATGAACATTGTGGCACAAATATCTGTCTGAGTCCCTGCTTTCAGCTCTTTTGGGTATATACCCAGAAGTGGAATTGGTAGATCATATGATAATTATATATTTATTCTTAATGGCTGGATGCGGTGGCTCACACCTGTAATCCTAGCACTTTGGGAGGCCAAGGTGGTTGGGTCAGGAGTTCGAGGCCAGCCTAGCCAACATGATGAAACTCCGTTTCTACTAAAAATACAAAAATTAGCTGGGCATGGTGGTGCACACCTGTAATCCCAGCTACTTGGGAGGCTGAGGCATGAGAATCGCTTGAACCCAGGAGGTGGAGGTTGCAGTGAGCTGAGATTGCACCCTTGCACTCCAGCCTGGGCAACAAGAGTGAGACTCTGTGTCAGAAAGCAAAACAAAATAAAAACAAAAATACAAAAAAAGAATGAGGTAATCTGTGTCTAGTGATAAGGAAGGGCCAGCAAGAATGTCAGACATATGTCAATATGTGGTAGATATATTGTTAAGGAAAACAAAGTGGGTTACAGAACAATATATTTTTGTAAAATAAAGCCGTATTTGTGTATATATAGATGTACTTATTCTATCTCTATTTAAGTCTCTATCTGTATCTGTATCCAGCTCTAGTATGTATCTATCTCTATCCATCCATTCCTCCATCTTTGTAGAAGGATAAGATAGTAGACATTGCTTATCCAGAAACATATATTTCCACTTTATTTATTTATTTATTTATTTATTTTGAGACGGAGTCTCACTCTGTTGCCCAGGCTGGAGTGCAGTGGCACGATCTCGGCTCACTGCAAGCCCTGCCTCCCGGGTTCACGCCATTCTCCTGCCTCAGCCTCCTGAGTAGCTGGGACGACAGGCTCCTGCCACCAGGCCTGGCTAATTTTTTGTATTTTTAGTAGAGACAGGGTTTCACCGTGTTAGCCAGGATGGTCTCCATCTCCTGACCTCGTGATCTGCCCTCCTCGGCCTCCCAAAGTGCTGGGATTACAGGCGTGAGCCACCGCGCCCAGCCATATTTCCACTTCTTCCGGAAACAGAACCCAGATCTTTTTTGGGGAACTATTTCTTCCCCACATTGTGTCCCCATGGTTTGGGTGGGACTCTGTTGGTCCCATTGCCCCAGGGCTGGAACATGGGTCTCAGGCCTGGCTAACAAGAGCACCAAGTTTTCTGAGCCACAGAGATTGGTTCTGGACAACCAAAGAGTGTCCAATCACAAGTCAGGCCTGAGTGGGTGTTACAGAGAAGGGCCTGTCTCCCTCCCGGAGCTCTGACTGCGAGCGCAGTTCCTCGATGATTGCGAAGTAATTAGAGTTGCTTCTTCCAACCGTGGTGCCTTCATGGGGCTGCAGATCAGCTTCTGACCTTGGATCTCTGGGATTTCAGGGTTCCAGACACAGAAGTGAGCAACCCTGCACCCCTCCAGTGAGGCCCACTGCCGCTTATGTTCACCAGAGCGGGGATCATTGCTTGAAACCAAAACACCATAATAGACACTCTCACTGATGAGAGAGAGCTGGGAGATTTTTAAGTTATATCTCTATGTTATTTATAATTCTTAATGAGTATATACTGCAGTTACAATTAAAAAATATGTTGTTAGCTGGGTGGGGTGGCTCACGCTTATAATCTCAGCACTTTGGGCAGCTGAGGTGGGCGAATCACCTGAGGTCAGGAGTTCGAGACCAGCTGGGCAAAAATGGTGAAACCCTGTCTCTACTAAAAATACAAAATTAGCTGGGCATGGTGGCATGCACCTGTAGTCCCAGCTACTCGGGAGGCTGAGGCAGGAGAATCGCTTGAAACTGGGAGGTGGTTGCAGTGAGCCGAGATCAAGCCACTGGGAGACAGAGACTTTGTTAAAAAAAGAAAATATATATGTATATATCTTTGTAAAGGCATTGGACTGGGAATGTCTTCTTTGCTTTATATAACCCTTTCATTTCCCATATTCCTGGCTTCCTTTAAATGGGTCTCTTTTGTTATAAGTTATGTAAAGTAAGTCAAGATAAACTATACATTTTTCTTTACTTTTTTTTCTTTTCGAGAGGAGTTTCACTCTTGTCACCCGGGCTGGAGTGCAATGGCACAATCTCGGCTCACCGCAACGTCCACCTCCCTTGTTCAAACGTTTCTCCTGCCTCAGCCTCCCAAGTAGCTGGGCTTACAGGCACCTGCCACCATGCTAGGCTAATTTTTTTTTGTATTTTTAGTAGAGACAGGGTTTCGCCATGCTGGGCAGGCTGGTCTTGAACTCCTGACCTCAGGTGATCCGCCCCCACCCCCCGCCCTCAGCCTCTCAAAGTGCTGGGATTACAGGCATGAGCCACTGTGCCCAGCTAACTATACATTGTTCTAACAGCTTTATTGAGATAGAATTCACATACCATAAAATTTGTCCTTTTAAAGTGTATAGTTTTGCGGCTTTCAGTATAGTAACAGAACCGTGCAAACATCACCACTGTCTAACTCCAGAGCATTTTTATGACTCCCAGAAGAAATCCAGTGCTTATTAGCAGAAGCAGTCATTCTCTATTTCCTTCTCCCTCAGCCCCTGGCCATCACTAATCTGCTTTCTGTCTCTACAAATTTGCCTATTCTGGACATCCCATATAAATAGAATCATACAATATGTAATCTTTTGTGACTGGCTTCTTTCAACCAGCACACTGTTTTTAAGATTCATCTGTGTTGCAGCATTTATCAGTATTTTATTCCGTGTGTGTGCGCGTGTGTAATTTTTAACTTTTTATTCTGATAATATATGCATAAGGTAAGAATTACGGCCAGGTGCAGTGGCTCATGCCTGTAATCCCAACGCTTTGGGAGGCCGAGGTGGGTAGATCACTTGAGGTCAGGAGTTTGAGACCAGCCTGGCCAATGTGATGAAACCCCATCTGTACTAAAAAATACAAAAATTAGCCAGCACTTGCCTGTAATCCCAGCTACTCAGAAGGCTGAAGCAGGAGGATTGCTTGAACAGAGGAGGCAGAGGTTGCAGTGAGCCGAGATCGTGCCACTGCACTCCAGCCTGAGCAAGACTCTGTCTCAAAAAAAAAAAAAAAAAAAGAATTACTATTTTTTGGCATGGGGGGGGATATTGTGAGAAGTTACTATTTTTAAGTGTCCAGTTCAATGACAGCACCATCTCCAGAACTTTTTCATCATTCCATTCTGGAACACTATGCTCATTAAACAATAATTCCCCAGTCCTCCCTCCCTCAACCCCTGGTAACCCCTATTCCACTTTCTTTTCTTCTTTCCTTTTATTTATTTATTTTTTGAGACAAAGTCTTGCCTTGTTGCCCAGGCTGGAGTGCAGTGGCGTGATCTCAGCTCACTACAACCTCCACCTCCCAGGTTCAAGCAACTCTCCTGTCTCAGCCTCCTGAGTAGCTGGGATTATAGGCACCTGCCCCCACGCCGGCTAATTTTTGTGTTTTTAGTAGAGACAGGGTTTCACCATGTTGATCAGGTGGGTCTCGAATTCCTGACCTCAAGCCCTCCACCTGCCTCGAACTCCCAAAGTCCTTGGATTACAGGCTTTCCACCTGCCTCGGCAGCCACTGCACCCAGCCCACTACTCTGCTTTCTGTCTCTAGGTATTTGGCTATTCCAGTATACCGCATGTAAGTAGAATCATACAACAAATATTGTGTATGTTTCCTTTTCTATCTGTTTCTTTCACTTAGCATGATGCCTTCAGGGTTCATCCGTGATAATATATCATGTATCAGAATTTCATTCCTTTTGTAGGTTGAATAATATTCTATTGTATAGATATAAACATTTTGATTATCCATTTATCAATTGGCGGGCATTTGGGTTGTTTCCACTTCTTTGGCTATTACAAATAATGGTGCTTTCAAAATTCAAGTTCAAGTTTTTGTGTGGATATATGGTTTGATTTCTCACTAGTTTATACCTGGGCATGAAATGGCTAAGTCATATGGTAACTCTATTCAACATTTGGAGGAACTGCCAAACTCCTTTCTAAAATGGATGTATCATTTTGCATTCACACCAACAATGTAAGAAGATTACAATGTCTCCACATCCTTGCCAATATTGTCTTTTTTTTTTTTCTAATGGGTGTGAAGTATTACCTCATTTCAGTTTGGATGTACATTTCCCTAGTGACTAATGACGTGGAGCACCTTTCCATGTGTTTATTGTCCATTTACTAGCATACTATTTTTAATTCCCTTTGTGTGTGTGTGTGGGTGTGTGTGTGTGTGCGTGCACGCAATATTTAAGATCCTTTTCACCGGGCGTGGTAGCTCACTCCTGTAATCCCAGCATTTTGAGAGACCGAGGTGGGCGGATCACCTGAGGTCGGGAGGTCAAGACCAGCCTGACCAACGTGGAGAAACTCCGTCTCTACTAAAAATACAAAATTAGCCGGGTGTGGTGACGCATGTCTGTAATCCTAGCTACTCTGGGGGCTGAGGCAGGAGAATCACTTGAACCCGGGAGGCGGAGGTTGCGGTGAGCTGAGATCGCACCATTGCACTCCATCCTGGGCAACAAGAGTGAAACTCCATCTCAAATATAATATATGTATCCTTTTTATTTTCTTTTCATTCTTTTCTTTTTTTTTAAGACCGAGTCTTGCTCTGTCACCCAGGCCAGAGTGCAGTGGCATCATCTCGGCTCACTGCAAACTCCGCCTTCCAGGTTCAAGTGATTCTCCTGCCTCAGCCTCTGGAGTAGCTGGGCCCACACGCGCCCACCACCACGCCCGGCTAATTTTGTATTTTTAGTAGAGACGGGATTTCTCCATGTTGGCCAGGCTGGTCTTGAACTGCTGACCTCAGGTGATCCTCCTGCCTCAGCCTCCCAAAGTGCTGGGATTATAGACATGAGCCTCTGTGCCCAGCCTGCCTTTTTTTTTTTTTTTTTTTTTTTTGAGATAGGATCTCACTATGTCACCCAGGCTGGAGTGCAGTGGCATGATCTCCGGCTTACTGCAACCTCCTGGGCTCAAGCAATCCTCCCACCTCAGCCTCCAGACTAGCTGGGACCACAGCTGTGCACCATCAAACCTGGCTAATTTTTTGTATTTTTTTGTAACAACAGGGTTTTGCCATGTTGCCCAGGCTGGTCTGGAATTCCTGGCTCAAGTGATCTGCCTGTCTTAGTTTCCCAAAGTGCTGGGATTACAGGTGTGAGCCATTGTGCCAGCCAAGATCACTTTTTAATGGTTGCTTCGAGGATTATAATTAACATCTTAATGTAAAGCTATCTAGTTGAGATAAGTACTAACTTAATTTTAATAGTATATATAAATGTTTGTTCCACTGTGGTTGTTTTTTATCTCTTCCTTTGTGTTGGTATTATACAAATTACATTTTTATGTATTGTAAGACTATCAATACAGTTTTATAATTATTGTTTTAGGAAAATGTCTTTTAAGTCAGATAATAGGAGAAAAGAATTACAAACAAAAGACCTATGTACTGTCTTTCTTCTGTATTTACCTATGTAGTTACTTGTACTAGTTTTCTTAGTTTCTTCAAGTGAATTGTGTCTTGTGTTTCTGTTTTGAGTCCTTTTATTTCAGCACCAAGGACTTCCTTTAATATTTCTTTTTTTTGAGACGGAGTCTTGCTCTGTCTCCCAGGCTGGAGTTCAGTCGTATGATCTCAGCTCACTGCCAACTCCACCTCCTGGGTTCAAGCGATTCTCCTGTCTCAGCCTCTCAAGTAGCTGGGATTACAGGCATGCGCTACCACACCCGGCTAATTTTTGTATTTTTAGTAGAGAGAGATTTCTCCATGTAGATCATACTGGTCTCGAACTCCCGACCTCAGGTGATCTGCCTGCCTCGGCCTCCCAAAGTGCCGGGATCACAGGCATGAGCCACCACGCCCGGCCCCTTGTTTTCTTTAGTTCTTTGAATGTTTTTATAATATCTGATTTAAAACTGACAGTGACTCTAACATCTGGGCTTCTTCAGGAAGCCTCTTGTCCTTCCAGGTATGAGCTATACTTTCTTATTTGTTCATGCATTTTTGTTGGAAACGGGACATTTAATATAATATAATGGGACAACACTGGAAACCAGATTGCCCCCTTCCTAAGCTTTGTTGTTATTGTGATTGCTGTCTGTTGTTGTTGTTGCTGTTTGTTTAGTGGCTTCCCGGGACGAATTCTGTAAGATCTGTATTCTTTGTGATATACGGCCCCTGAAGTTTCTGCTAGGTAGTTAACCTAGCTACTAGACGTGGTCAGCTAATGATTACATAGATTTCCTTAAATGCTACAAGCCAGTAAGTCTCCTATCATTTGTTGAAGGGCTGTCTATTGTGTATGGAGGGTGTGACTTCAATGTTCCAGCAGGCACTCTAGAACTCTGCCTTAGCAGGCTGGGCACGTCCAGCTGTACATTTTTAATACATTAAACCACTTAGCTGTCATTGACTTAATTTCCTTTCAAGGAAATGGGTAATGCAAACGTGGCTTGAAGGCAGGACCTCTGTCTTATTATCTCTGTATTAACAGGGTCTAGGATAGTGGCTGGTACAAAAAAAATCATTAAAAGTTCCGATGAATAACTACAGATCTTATGTTTGAATTGTGCTTTGCAATTTATAAAGTGCTTTCTCATGATTTTATTCCACAGAGTGTAATTTAATTCAGCAACCTTTCCTGTCCATTAACTACATGCCAGTCACTGTGTCGAATGTCAAGGATAGAAAGATAAATAAGAAAAAGGCTTGCTCTGGAAGGTATTTTCAGTCTACTTGGCGGCACGAGATGCATGCATTAACAAGACAAATAATAGTATGGATATAAGTTCCATGCGAGAGGGCACCATATCGGCCTTGGACCACATTATACTGCAGAGTCTACAAGAATATCTGATACCTAGAAGATGTCTGTGGGTTATTAAACAGGAACACAAATTATTTTACACTCTTTCTTTTGAGAGGTAGGGTCTATTTTCCTTCCCTTTAGATTGGATGGTGATCTGGTTTGGCTGTGTCCCCTCCAAATCTCATCTTGAATTGTGGTTCCCATAATCCCCTTGTGGGAAGGACCCAGTGGGAGGTAATTGAATCATGGGGGTGGGTTTTTCTCATGCTGTTCTCATGACAGTGAATAAGTCTCATGAGATCTGGTGGTTTTATAAAGGGCAGTTCCCCTGCTGCACATGCTGTCTTGCCTGCTGCCATGTAAGATGTGCCTTTGCTCCTCCTTCGCCTTCTGCCATGATTGTGAGGCCTCTGCAGCTATGTGGAACTGTGAGGCCATTAAACCTCTTTTTTTTTTTTTTTGAGATGGAATCTCGCTCTGTCGCCGAGGCTGGAGTGCAGTGGAGTGATCTCAGCTCACTGCAACCTCTGCCTCCCAGGTTCAAGCAATTCTCCTGCCTCAGCCTCCCAAGTGGCTGGGACTACAGGTGTGTGCCACCACACCCAGCTAATTTTTTAGAGACAGTGTTTCACCGTGTTAGCCAGGATGGTCTTGATCTCCTGACCTTGTGATCCGCCTGCCTTGACCTCCCAAAGTGCTGGGATTACAGTCGTGAGCCACCGTGCCCAGCCTAAACTTCTTTTTCTTTATAAATTACCCAGTCTTGAGTATGTCTTTTTTTTTTTTTTTTTTTTTGAGACAGAGTCTCGCTCTGTCTCCCAGTCTGGAGTACAGTGGCATGATCTTGGCTCACTGCAACCTCCGCCTGCTGGGTTCAAGAGATCCTCCTGCCTCAGCCTCCCGAGTAGCTGGGATTACAGGCACCCACCACCATGCCTGGCTACTTTTTTGTATTTTTAGTAGAGATGGGGTTTCACCATGTTGGCCAGGCTGGTCTGGAACTCCTGACCTCAGGTGATCCATCCACTTTGCCCTCCCAAAGTGCAGGGATTATAGGTGTGAGCCACCATCCGGGGCCAAGTATGTCTTTATTAGCAGTGTCAGAATGAACTAATACGGATGGGCCTTGTGACTGCTTTGGTTACTGGAATACAGCATAAGTGATGCTGTATTGGTTTCAAGGTTCAAGTCTTAAGAGACCATCTGTTTCCATTTTTGGTTTCTTGGAACATTCAATCTTGAAACTAAGCTTCCTTGCCAGAAGGAAACTCAAGTATCTTTGAGGAGAAGTCCACATGGAGAGGAACTGAGGTGCCTAGTAGATAGTCCCAGCCAACAGCGTACCTCAACTCACCAGTCATGTGAGTAAACCATCCTAAAAGTGGGTATTCCGGTCCCAGTTAGGCCACCCCAGCTGACACTGCACAGAGCAGAGATGTGCTGCCCCGTGGAGCCCTGACAAAATTGTAATTTCAGAAATAAAATAAATGGCTATTATTATTTCAAGCCACTGAGTTTTAGGGTGGAGTTTAAAACAGCACTAGATGGTCACAACCATGTTGAATAAATATTTGTTGACTGCCTATGATTGTTGGTAATCTGTGCTTTTTGGAGGGATGGGGTAACACACATTATCCCATTTAATCTTCTCAACAATTCTGTTGATGAACCAACTTGCCCAAGATCATACAGCTAGTAAGTGGTAGAGGTGGGATTAGAACTCAGATCTTTCTGATGTCAGAACTAGATTTCCATCTCTATTTTCACTATGCCATGTCACCTGTCCCTAAAGAACTAGAATCCTGAGTAGCTGGGATTATAGGCATGTGCCACCATGCCCAGCTAATTTTTGTGTTTTTGGTAGAGACGGGGTTTCCCATGTTGGCCAGGCTGGTCTCGAACTCCTGACCTCAGGTGATCCGCCCATCTCAACCTCCCAAAGTACCGGGATTACAGACATGAGCCACTGCGCCTGGCCAACATCGCCTCTCAGCTGGGAGGTCATCTGGGCTGCATATGGCCTCTCCATATATCTCTTCACATGGGTGAATTTGGGCTTCTTCGGAGCATGGTGGCTCTGTGAGTGTCCCAAGAGAGCAAGGTGGAAATACATGGCATTTTTATAACCCAGAAGTCAGAAACCTCAGAAGTCACAGTTTTTCTTCTGCCATGAGGCAGTCATGAATAACTTCCCTGGCTCAAGCAGAGAAGAAGACATAGATTAAATGGTAGATATTGTGGTAGCCATTATTGGTAAATATGACCTGCTACAATGCATCTCATCGACACATTCTAAGAAAATACAAACCTCACATCCAGATCTTTCCTGTGGGTTCTTGCTAGAATGTCAGGGTGGGCAGTTGTGATGGGGGTTAAATTTGTAACACTCAGCAACACTTCTTTAAGTTATCTTTCTTGGGGGTTGGATGGACATGGTTGGCTGAGCACATGCTTTTACTACTACTTTCATTTCCAGTCCCTAGCAATGACAGAAAAGAAATATTTAAAAATATAGACTCATAATAGGGCTGGAACACTGAAGGTGTTCATGGACCATTAATGTTGAAGAATCTCGGAAGGACAGAAAGCCTCAATTTGTTGAAGAATCAATTTGTTAGAGTAAAAAAAAAAAAAAAAAAAAAAAGCCCAAAACATGTGCAGAAGGGGGCAGCTGTGAATAACAGGAATTTTTCTGGGAGTTTCCCAACTTAGAGAAACAATGAAACTGAGGAGCAAGATGAGGCTTTGAAGTTTTCATGAGGGTGGTTGAGAACTGGCATTGAGACCAAGACAGGTTGACCCTTTCCTTTATCCATTATTTTGCCAAGCAGGAAGCAGCAATGGCAATTGGCCCCAGACCAGAGCAGTGTGTCTTGGACTTGGGTGGGAAAAGCAACATACAGGAAAATATGGGACAGCGTCCTAGGCAGCTGGTGGAACCCAGGAATAATGGAAGGCCCCCTCATCCCAAAAGACAGCTTCTATACTGTATTCCCACACTTTTTCTTTTCATCATCACTGGCCCCAGTCATGCAACAAACTTCCCTCAAGTCAATAAAAGCAAAACCATTAAAGAAAAGCTCCAAGCTCTATAGAAACTGCACTAGCATTTAAGGAAATGGAAAGGAGTTTGATAGAAGTTGTTCAGTGTGCCCAGGAAGACAAGATCATACAGGATCCATGAAATAAGACGTAATAGGCCGGGCGCGATGGCTCACGCCCGTAATCCCAGCACTTTGGGAGGCCGAGGCAGGCAGACTGTCTGAACTCAGGAGTTCGAGACCAGCCTGGGCAACATGGTGAAACCTGTCTCTACTAAAAATGCAAAAAATTCGCCGGGCGTGGCAGAGTGCATCTGTAGTCCCAGCTACTCAGGAGGCTGAGGCGGGACAGTTGCTTGAACTCGGGAGGTAGTGGTTGCAGTGAGCCGAGATCACACCACTGCACTCCAGCCTGAGCCACAGAATGAGACTCCGCCTTCAAAAAAAAAAAAAAAGAAAGAAAAAGAAATAAGACGTACCCTGCCCATGTACCCTTACTGTTTCCATTTTGGTTCACGGTGACCTGATTCCAATTGCCAGTACCTGCATTTCTTTCCCTGAGGTATTCCCCCCTCCTTGTCCTCTTGTCATCTATGCCAATTAGTGTGGCATGCCTAAAGTGATGAGGAATTAGCACCCTCTATCCTGGAAGCAGCCCCTCCACCAATTACCAGTGGGATCTGGTATAAATACCCCAGTTCCCTGACCCCTTGGGCGGAACGACTCTGAGACGTCGGTTCTACACTGGCTTCCAGAGTTCCCAGCATGATTAACCACGGAGAATGACTTGACAACACATCCTTCACTGGCTGCCTTCCCTTCTCCATCTTACTTCCTTACTCCCCTACCGGCGGCTCTTGGTATCATCTCCCAAATGCCCTCAACTCCCACTTGTATTCATACTGTTTTTAGGGGTTTGCTTATTGGAGAACCCAAGCTAAGCCAAACGGTCATCTATGCAAGTAAGAGTCAGCTGTGAAAAAGAAAGCAGGCAATGGACTGAAAAACATAATGAACGCAGATGGAGAAAGAGTTAGCAAGATGCGGAAAATACGAAAGAAAAGTTAAGTGACGTGGATGATAGATCCAGAGATTTCAATATCTGTCTAAAAGAACAGAAATAGTTCAAAGAAAGGAGTAATCCAAGAAGTAATAGAAGAAAACCTCCCCAAGCTGAAGAAAAACACACATCTTCAGACTGAACGGGCTATGAATGAAGAACATATTTTTCATATACATGTCATTCACCACACCCAGCTAATTTTGTGTATTTTTAGTAGGGACGGGGTTTCACTATGTTGGCCAGGATGGTCTCCATCTCTTGACCTTGTGATCCGTCCGCCTAGGCCTCCCAAAGTGCTGGGATTATAGGCATGAGTCACCACACCCAGCCTGCTCTTGCTGTTAACTGTACTGCCTTTCTGAGGCATCACGTCTCACCTCTGGTCAACCAGTAAAAGCCCAGGGATAGAAAATGAGTAGGACATATTTAGAGGACAGCATGGAGAAGAGCAGAGAAGAACTGGAGAATTAGGATTGGAGCTGATGAAAGTTATGAACACCAAAGGTAAGAGAAAGTCTTCAAGGTTTTTGAAGGTAAAAAGCAGATCACCTACAAAAAATGAATTTTCATAGGGCCAAAAATTGCATTAGCTACACTGAATGCTAAAAAACAATGAAAAAAATCTTTTATTTGTTAGGAAAATATTTGGAACGTAAAATTCTATGCCTCACCAAAAATCATTTATGAGGGGGGAAGATGAAGACATTTCTAGACATGTGAGGGCCTAGATCCAGAGTCCCTTTCAATCAAAAAGAAAAGTGAATTCAAGAGCAAGGCTTCTAGTACAAAAAGCAGGGATCCAAGCCCTGACCCTCCCCCAGGATTCTGCTTAACTCCTATCTCCGTGTGCTGGTGTCCATCACAGGGTCCCACAGAGGCTGCCCTGGTGAATTCTTCTTTTTCCTGTTCTGCCAATTTGACATTTAATCACACACCACCTGGAGAGATCACTTTACTGTTACAGCAAAGCATCTCCCTTTTGCATTGCAGCTTCTCTATTCGTGTATCTGCATTGCCTTCCTGCCTAGATTACAAACATTCAATCACAAGGACGCTATCATACATCATCAATAAATATTCACTGAGCTTTAAAGAAATCAATCTCTCATTTCCCATAGCATACATCCCTGCTGCTGCCATGTTCTTTTTTGCCATCTGAATCGCTCTCAACGCCTTCCCAAAGCTCAACCTGCCACTTTTCTCCTCTCCTTCGCCCCCTTTCCCTCTTCCCAGGTCTGTTTTTCCCTGCTCTCACCCCTCAGCTCTTTCCCATGCCACAGATGTTGAGCTCTGTGGCTTTTCCAGCTGCTCCCTTGTGCTCCTTCTCCTGATCACTATAATCAAAACCAAGAGCCAAGAAGGTGGAGGGTTCATCAAGAGCCCACCATGAGCCAGGCAGTGTTCTAAGCCAATCATGTAGATTAATGAATTTGCTTCTCACAGCTGCCCTATGGGAGCAGAACAATTATACCTCTCATTTTTCAGATGGGGAAACCAAGGCACAGAGAGGGGAAGTAACTTGCTCAAGGGCTTATGGCAGATGAGAGGCTCTGACCTGAACAGTCTTGCTCTTGCTTTTTTTTTTTTTTTTTTTTTTTTTTTGAGACAGAGTCTTGCTCTGTTGCCAGGCTGGAGTGCAGTGGCACAATCTCGGTTCACTGCAACCTCCGCCTCCGGGTTCAAGCAATTCTCCTGCCTCAGCCCCCCGAGTAGATCGAACTACAGGCACGCACCGCCATGCCCAGCTAATTTTTTGTATTTTTAGTAGAGACGGGGTTTCACCATGTTGGCCAGGATGGTCTGCATCTCTTGATCTTGTGATCCGCCCACCTCGGCCTCCCGAAGTGCCGGGATTACAGGCGTGAGCCACCGCACCCGGCCTGCTCTTGCTTTTAACTGTACTGCCTTTCTGAGTCATCATATCTTGCCTCTGGTCAACAAGTAAAAATCCAGAGATAGAAAACGAGTAGGACATACTTAGAGGACACGTGGAGAAGAACAGAGAAGAATTGGAGAATTAGGATTGGAGCTAATGGCAGACAACAAGTGAAAACTAGTTTGAAAATTGGGGTACACACAGAGCAGGAATATGAGACATGTAACATAGTTGTGAAGTTTACAAAGCATGTCTGCACGTTCATTTTACATTTCGGTTGGCCCTGACAGCAATACTTTGAGAGAGGATTGAAGGGAATCATTGTCTTTCACATTTTACATATGAGAAGTCTGATGCTCAGAGAGGTTAAGTGACTTGCTTGAGGCCACACAGCCAAGAAATGGCAGAGCAGGCACTTGAACATGGAAACTCCCTGACTCCAGGCATGAATAACTAGCACATCAGGTTCTAAGTGGAGGTACAAAATGCCAGTCAGTGTTTAAGAAATATTTGTGTGTGTTTTGTTTTTTTTTGTGTGTGTGTGTGTTTGTTTTTTTTTTTTTCTGAGACAGAGACTTACTCTCTCACCCAGGCTGAAGTGCAATGGTGCGATGCCTCACTGCAACCTCCGCCTTCTGGATGCAAGTGATTCTCCTGCCTCAGCCTCCAGGGTAGCTGGGATTATAGGCGCCTGCCACCATACCCAGCTAATTTTTGTATTTTTAGTAGAGACGCGATTTCACCATGTTGGCTAGGCTGGTCTCGAACACCTGACCTCAAGTCATCTGCCTGCTTCAGCCTCCCAAAGGTGCTGGGATTACAGGCATGAGCCACCGCTCGTGGCCCAAGCAATATTTGTTAACCAATTCTCTGCAGTGACAAAACATCCTGTTTCTATTAATATACATATAGAGACCAATGGTATTCTTGGCTAGCGTTTACAGGGGAAGGATTTCCTCCCCCACCCAATCAAGCCCAAGCACTACTGCCCATGCAGTGCCCACCCCCCTCCAAACCATGCAGGTTTGGGATGAGACTGGGCGAGAGAGGAACGAGAGAGGGAAGGAGCAGGAAAGCAAGACAGGAGACTGGAGAATGCACTTCCCATGACACAAGGGTGCCTCCCATTCCATTTCATGAGATACTTTTTTTTTTTTTTTTGAGATGGAGACTCGCTCTGTCACTCAGGTTGGAGTGCAGTGGCATAATCTCAGCTCACTGCCACCTCCACCTCCCGGGTTCAAGTGATTTTCCTGCCTCAGCTTCCTGAGTAGCTGGGATTACAGGCACCCACCACCATGCCCGGCTAATTTTTATATTTTTAGTAGAGATGGGTTTTTGCCATGTTGGCCAGGCTGGTCTTGAACTCCTTACCTCAGGTGATCTGCACACCTCAGCCTTCCAAAGTGCTGGGATTACAGGAGTGAGCCACCGCGCCCGGCTTCATGAGATACTTTTGAGATGCTGTGCATCTTTATTTTTTATTTTTTATTTTTTTTTGAGATGGAGTCTCACTCTGTTACCCAGGCTGGAGTGCAGTGGTGCAGTCTCAGCTCACTGCAACCTCTGCCTCCCAGGTTAAAGCGATTCTCCTGCCTTAGTCTCCCGAGTAGCTGGGACTACAGGTGCATGCCACCACGCCGGCAAATTTTTTGTATTTTTAGTAGAGACAGGGTTTCACCATGTTAGCCAGGATGGTCTTGATCTCATGACCTCATGATCTGCCTGCCTCAGCCTCCCAAAGTGCTGGGATTACAGGCGTGAGCCACCATGCTCAGCCGAGATGCTGTACATCTTTAAGTTACCTAATAGGTAGGGTAGGCAGGGAGGGGAGGAGGGGGCGCTGTGGTAGAGACCAAGGCAAGGGCCCCCTGACGTCTCGGCTCACAGTGCAAGAGGCTTGTATTTTCAGGCATGTTGCTGCAAAAACACATGGTGGCCCATGTAGCCCCAACAGCCAGAAAGCAAGTACCCAGATGACACTTCAGCCTTTTACTCCCCTCTCGGGTGTGGGGCAAAGACCTTGTAAAGCAGCAGTCCCCAACGTTTTTGGCACCAGGGACCAGTTTTGTGGAAGTCAATTTTCCATGGACCGGAGATGGGGGGATGGTTTCAGGATGATTTAAGCACGTTACATTTATTGGAGACTTTATTTCTATTATTATTACATTGTAATACATCATGAAATAATTATACAACTCACCATAAAGTAGAATCAGTGGGAGCCCTGAGCTGGTTTTCCTGCAACTAGAGGGTCCCATCTGGGAGTGATGGGAGACAGTGACAGATCATCAGGCACTAGATTCTCATAAGGAGCCCACAACCTAGATCCCTCTCATGCTCAGTTCACAGTAGGGTTTGTGCTCCTAGGAGAATCTAATGCTGCCGCTGATCTAACCGGAGCTGGAGCTCAAGCAGTCATGTGAGTGATGGGGAGCGGCTGTCAATACAGAAGAAGCTTCACTTGCTCGCTTGCCCACTGCTCGTGTCCTCCTGTGCAGCCTGGTTCTTTTTTTTTTTTTTTTTTTTTTTTGAGATGGAGTCTCGCTCTGTCGCCCAGGCTGGAGTGCAGTGGAGTGATCTCGGCTCACTGCAAGCTCCACCTCCTGGGTTCACACCATTCACCTGTCTCAGCCTCCCGAGTAGCTGGGACTACAGGTGCCTGCCACCACGCCTGGCTAATTTTTTTTGTATTTTTAGTAGAGATGGGGTTTCACCGTGTTAGCCAGGATGGTCTTGATCTCCTGACCTCATGATCCGCCCGCCTCGGCCTCCCAAAGTGTTGGGATTACAGGCGTGAGCCACCGCGCCTGGCCGCAGCCTGGTTCTTAACAGGCCTCAGACTAGAACTGGTCCATGGACTGGGGGTGATGGATCCCTGCTCTACAGGACAGTCACAGAGAGGACCAGTCCCCTGGGGGCCAAGTGGCCACCACAGCTGCCCACTTCCCTGCCCCACGTCCCTTCTGATCATTCTGAAAGGTTCCTTCAGCCAGTGTTTTCTTTTTATTTTTGAGATGGAGTCTCACTCTGTCACTCAGGCTGGAGTGCAATAGCGCGATCTTGGCTCACTGCAACCTCTGCCTCCTGGTTGCAAGCAATTCTCCTGCCTCAGCCTCCCGAGTAGCTGGGACTACAGGCACGAGCCACCACACCCGGCTGATTTTTGTATTTTTAGTAGAGATGGGGTTTCACCATATTGGTCAGGCTGGTCTTGAACTCCTGACTTCGTGATCTTCCTGCCTCAACCTCCCAAAGTGTTGGGATTACAGGCGTGAGCCACCACACCCGGCCTCAGTCAGTGTTTTCTGAGTATCCAGTTCTCACCTGGCCCTGGGGAAGCAAAGAGGAATATGGCTTTGTCTTCATTCTTTGACAAAAGGGCCAGACATGCAATCCATACCTCCAGTCCAGGCAAAGACAGGAAGGGAGGAAGCAGGGACTCACAGGGTCCTGTCGTCGGGGCACAGGGAGGGATGTGGTGCTATGGGACAGAATCGTGGCTCCCTAGCTATGTGACCCTTGGCACATGATTGGACTTCTTTAGGTCTCCCTTGTTAGTAACTGGGGAGCTTTAATAAGAGTCATTGTGCAGGGTGGCTGGGAGGGCAGGGCAGCTGTTTACTAGCCCGTGGCGGCAGGGAGCAGAAGCTTGGGACGAGGAGCCTGGGACTGCGACGGGCAGAGACGGGGGTTGGGACCCTGGAGGAGGAAGGGGGGAAGGGTTAAATGAACAGAAGGCCACCCTCTCTTATTCCTCCCCCAGTGGCTGGGGGCCAGAGAAAAGAGATTTGGACAGGAGGGAGGGAGGACAGGCCCAGCGGGAGGCAGATTGGGGTCGGGGCCACGTGTGTTGGCCGGCAGCCTGTGGACCTTCTTTGGGTCCAAACTGCCCTCCCACCTCTGCCCAGGCAGGCAGCTTCCTGCCAGGCTGGGAAATTGCTTTGGCCTGGAATTTTCTGCTTGGGGGTGTGTTTTTGGAGCCAGGTTCGCTGTTAGGAATCTCCAGTTACCAACATTCCTGAAACAGACCCAAAGGAGGCCGACCCCAGTTTTGCAGACTCCGGTGGGAAGTGGGAGGCAGAGGCGGGGCTGGAGGTGATGGCTGTGCTAGACACCTCTAACCAGCTCTGGGGTCGCCAAGCCAGGGCCACTGTCTTTCTTCTCACTGGGCATGCTTTGAAGACAACCTTTTTTTTTTTTTTGAGACGAAATCTAGCTGTGTCACCCAGTCTGGAGTGCAGTGGTACCATCCTGTCTCACTGCAGCCTCTGCCTCCCAGGTTCAAACGATTCTCCTGCCTCAGCCTCCTGAGTAGCTGGGATTACAGGCACGTGCCACCATGGCTAATTTTTTGTATTTTTAGTAGAGATGGGGTTTCACTGTGTTAGCCAGGATGGTCTCAATCTCCTGACCTCGTGATCTGCCCGCCTTGGCCTGCCAAAGTGCTGGGATTACAGGCATGAGCCACCGCGCCCGGTCTAATTTTTGTATTTTTAGTAGAGATGGGGTTTCACCATATTGGCCAGGCTGGTCTTGAACTCCTGACCTCAAATGATCTGCCCGCCTGGGCCTCCCAAAGTGTTAAGATTACATGTGTGAGCCACCTTGCCCGGCTGGAAGACAACTTTGATAAAAGGAGCTTATAGGTGAATACTCAGCCCAGAAGTGTGCCTGAACCCTGGAATGCCAGAGCTGGGAGGGACCTCAGAGGGCATCTGCCCTGCCCGGGGATTTCAAACTTTTCCCAAAGTCAGCACTCGTCCGCGTGTGAGAGTCCACACACAGACTGGTCTCACCATTGTATTCCACTGCCGGATAGAGAGAGCCAGCCACCTGCCACCATCCCCCAGCAAGCTGGCTGGGGGTCTGAAGGGCTTCCCATGATTGACACTTCACCTTTGGGGAGTTTGCTAGACACATGGCAATGCCATCCTGTAGAATAGGACAGATTATCTTCCCCATTTTCCCAATGAAGAAATAAAAGGTCAGAGAGGCAGAGAGACCCCAATAAGGTCAACTTTACTGGTCTACAATTTACTAGTCAACAAGGTCTAGTTTATACAACAAGTCCTAGTGTACTGGGACCCAGGTCATTTGTCCCAGGGACTGTGCTCATCCCACTGACTCAGCGAGTCTCTTCGAGGATTCTCGGCGTGCTCTAGCCTTATAGATTTTGCTGCCTTTTCAAAGCAGCTCAAATCCCAGCGGGCTCCTGAGAATGTCACTTCTGTGCTGCAGGTGCAGGTGTCTGTGTCTTCCCTTGGATTTCAGCTACCTATGTCTCAGCTGTGCCCAAGTAGATTGATTTGGGTTAAAACTGTGAATTGATGTAAACTTTCATGATGTGAAGTAAACAGTGCAGGCACCGTGACTGCAGATCTAGGTTTGAGTCCCGTCTTTGACTTTTGGTACTAAGTGACCTTTGTTAGGTCAATTGAAAAAATATATATTTTCTGTCAAGAAATAAAAATCTAAAGTGTATAAAATGGGCCGGGCATGGTGGCTCATGCCTGTAATCCCAGCACTTTGGGAGGCCGAGGCGGGTGGATCACCTGAGGTCAGGAGTTCGAGACCAGCCTGACCAATATGGTGAAACCCCGTCTCTGCTAAAAATACAAAAATTAGCCGGGTGTGGTGGTGTGCACCTGTAATCTCAGCTACTTGGGAGGCTAAGGCAGGAGAATCACTTGAACCCGGGAGGCGGAGGTTGCAGTGAACCGAGATTGTGCCATTGTACTCTAGCTTGGGCAACAAGAGCGAAACTCCATCTCAAAAAATAAATAAATAAAATAAAGTGTATAAAATGAAAAATAAATGGTGGTGTGAGCCTGTAATCCCAGCTACTTGGGAGGCTGAGGCAGGAGAATCACTAGAACCTGGGAGGCAGAGGTTGCAGTGAGCTGAGATTGCGCCATTGCACCCCAGTCTGGGTGACAGAGACTCCATCTAAAAAAAATTAAAAAAAAAAATTCCCCTCCTTCCTAGTCCCCCAGCTTCCCTTTCCAGAGGCAATGACTTATCAATTTATTGTGTCTTCCACAGACACCCAGTGAATATGCAGGTGTTTTGTGCCCATTTGTAAGATGAAGGATAACCGTCCTATAAGAAGTGAGACCCCCGGGGAACATCCAGGCTTCATGGTAACTCCTCGGGTCTGTGTTCTGCTGCCCCTCTTCTCCTCTGTGTCCTGAGCTGGCTGGGAGGGTAGGTGTGAGTCTGCAGAGAGGCCACCAACAATTGTCCCCTCCCTGGTTAAGCACGCTGCTCCTCCCATCACAAGGCAGAGTCTACCCCCCTCCCTTTCAATCAGGACAGTCATGTGATTGATCTGAACAACTGAATGCGGCAAAAATGCCAATTCTAAGCCTACTCCTTAAGAGATCTGGCAGTTTCCACTTCTGCCCACTTAGGACTTAGCTGCCTGAACTAAGAAGGTCCAGGCCATCCTGATGGAGAGAGAGGTCATTTGGAGAATGGAGAGAGAGCCCCAGAGGATGAGACACCATCCTATGGAGGAGTGAGGCCCCCAACCCAGACAGCCAGCACTACTGTCCCAGACATGCCTAGAGACACCTTCTCCTACTGTCCAGCCCGGCCCAGCCCAGGTCAGCCTCTAGCTGAATGCAGCTGCATGAATGACACTAGCTGAGCCCTGCTCCAATTCCTACCAACAAAATCATGAGAAAATATAAACCATTGTTTAAGCCATTAAGTTTTGGAATGGTTGGTTATGCAGTGTTGGTTAGCTGATACACTTTTTTTTTTTTTTTTGAGACAGAGTCTTGCTCTATTGCCCAGGCTGGAGTGCAGTGGCACTATCTCAGCTGACTGCAACGCCTCCTGGGTTCAAGCTATTTTCATACCTCAGCCTCCCAAGTAGCTGGGATTACAGGTGTGTGCCACCATGCCCAGCTAATTTTCGTTTTTTAAGTAGAGACAGGGTTCCACCATGTTGGCTAGGCTGGTCTCAAACTCCTGACCTCAAGTGATCCTCCTGCCTTGGCCTCCGAAAGTGCTGGGATTACAGGCGTGAGCCACCAAACCCGGCCTGATACACAATTGTCTATGGGAGAAGCACAGTGAATGCACTCTGATTTAGCAATCTTATTCTCTTGAATGGTTTGTGCTTTTTATGTCTTAGGAAACCTTCCTTGGTCCCAAGATATTCTATAGAGACTTTATTTTGTACTTTTCTTCTAAAAGTCTTTTCTTTTTTTTTTTTTTTTGAGACAGAGTCTCACTCCGTTGCCCAGGCTGGAGTGCAGTGGCACGATCTTGGCTCACTGCAACCTCCGCCTCCTCGGTTCAAGCGATTCTCCTGCCTCAGCCTCCAGAGTAGCTGGGACTACAGGCATGCGCCACCACGCCTGGCTAATTATTGTATTTTTAGTAGAGACGGGGTTTCACCATATTGGCCAGGCTAGTCTTGAACTCCTGAGCTCAAGTGATCTGCCCATCTCGGCCTCCCAAAGTGCAGGGATTACAGGCGTGAGCCACCACGCCCAGCCTCTAAAAGTCTTAACGTTTTGCCTTTCACATTTACATCTGGAATTGATTTTGTTATGCGGTGAGGAAAGAATCTTTTTATTTTTCTCTTTGGGGACTCACCCCCCACTCCATTTGCAGGCCTGTTGGGAGGTAGGCTCATCTTAGAGGAACAGACCCTGGGCAGGCTGTGACACAGGGCTCCAGCAACAAGCCGCAGAAGCGGAACTCATAACATGTGGCATTGGCATTCCCTACCATTACTGATTCAATGCCATTCCACGGTGGCCCTGGGTCATGGACCAGCTCATGTTGGGCTAATGTCCCAACACACACAAAGATGGTAGGTTTGACTAAGCAAGAGGCAGTCCTTAGGTGAGGTTGCAGGGAGAGGGAAGAGGGCTTGGTGAAGAATAGAAGACCCATGAAGAAGGGGTGTGGTCTTGGTGACCACGTGATCCCATAGTATTCCCATAGACACTCAAGACAGCTGGTAAATTGAGCTGCTCCCCAGAGGAGGCCAACAGACAGGCTGGACAATGACTGGGGTCTGAGCAGAGACCCCGTCTCCCTTCTGCTGCACCTGCTGCAGCTTAACATTGACTAGACTACCAGGCTCAGCCTCAGCAAGGCCCCCACCTGGCTCTGGGCCTGGTGACCAGGGAAGGTGGGAAGAGAGGGGGCTCATCACTTCCTACAGAAGGAAGCTCAGACTTCCAATTTCGTGTGGCATAAGAGCATGGGCTCTGGGCAACACTGCCTGGATTAGTATTCAGCTCGGGCCCTACTCGTGGTATAACTGGGAGTCACTAATTTTATCTCTGGGCTTCACTATAAATGGGATCCTAATGGCAGTCTACCCAAGCAGGGTATTGTGAGGCCTAGAGATGATGAGGCAAACAGTTGGTTCTCAATACAAGAAAGAAATTTATCATTTGCATGTAGCTGCATAGCTGATAAGCCCATGACAGTTTTCCCATAACCTGTTTTCATGGCCTTATTTTCCGCAACTCTGTCTATTTCAGCTACGTGGAACCACTCCTGTGTACTGTGACAGTCTAATGTTGGGATCTGGTTAAATATATTATGGCCCATCCAGGCGCGGTGGCTCACGCCTGTAACCCCAGCACTTTGAGAGGCCAAGACAGGCGAATCACCCTGAGGTCAGGAGTTCGAGACCAGCTTGGCCAAGATGGTGAAACCCCGTCTCTACTAAAAATACAAAAATTAGCTGAGTGTGGTGGTGCATGCCTGTAATCCCAGCTACTCGGGAGGCTGAGGCAGGAGAATTGCTTTGAAACCGGGAGGTGGAGGTTGCATTGAGCCAAGATTGCACCACTGCACTCCAACTTGGGCGACAGACAGAGAGAGACTCGGTCTCAAAAAAAAAAAAAAAAAAAGTTATGGCCCATCCACAGGATGCAATATCATATAGCCATTTAAAAGAATGGGCTACATCTGAACCAGATGGAAGAAAAGATGCCCGGATATGTTATTAATGGGATGAGGCAACGTGTAGAACCTGTGTAAAATAGGATTTTTTTTCTGAGATGGAGTCTTGCTCTGTCACCCAGGCTGGAGTGCATTGGTGCCATCTCTCCTCACTGCAACCTCTGCCTCCTGGGTTCAAGCGATTCTCCTGCCTCAGCCTCCCAAGTAGCTGGGATTATAGGAGCCCGCCACCACATCTGGCTAGTTTTTGTATTTTTAGTAGAGACGAGGTTTCACCATGTTGGCCAGGCTGGTCTTGAACTCCTGATCTCAGGTGATCCACCCACCTCGGCCTCCCAAAGTGCTGGGATTACAGGTGTGAGCCACCACGCCTGGCCAAGTAGGATGCTTTTATGCCATATTTAAAAGAATCCACAGGGAGCTGTTAATGCTGATACTTTTGGGGAAAGGGCTCAGTGGAGCAGCTAAGCTTTTGCTTTTCTTTTTGTTCCTTTCTGTGGAATTGGCATTGCCTACCAACACTGATTCAGTGTCATTCCACGGTGGCCCTGGGGCATGGTGTTTTTTTTCATGGATCAGCTCTGCCTGACACCACCATGCAGCAGGCTGTACTGTGAGCCTCATTTTGCAGGTGAGAGAAGCAAGGCACAGAGAGGTTACGTAACTTGCTTAAAGACATGTGACAAGTAAGAGGTGGAGCTGGGATTCAAACTCAGGCAGTGGAGGTCTGGAGTCCCTATTTTTAGCTACTACATGACACTGTCTCCCAATATATTATTTTTATCTATTTAAAAATTCAAAGCAGTTTTCTGTGTTATAGACTATTTTTTACTTCTTCACATGCTTAAAAACAAACAAACAAAAAAAAATAAAACAGAGGCCAGGCACGGTGGCTCACGCCTGTAATCCCAGCACTTTGGAAGGCCGAGGAAGGTGGATTACCTGAGGTCAGGAGTTCGAGACCAGCCTGGCCAACATGGTGAAACCCTGTCTTTACTAAAAATACAAAAAATAGCCAAGTGTGGTGGCATGCGCCTGTAGTCCCAGCTACTCGGGAGGCTGAAGCAGGAGAATCGCTTGAACCTGGGAGACAGAGTTTGCAGTGAGCTGAGATTGTGTCATTGTACTCCAGCCTGGGCGACAGAGAGACTTCATCTCAAAAAAACAAAACAAAACAAAACAAAACAAAAAAAAACAGGAACAATGCATAGCCCATGATGAATTGTTTTATTATCTGTGACTCTTATTGTTCATTGGTTGCTTCTGTCCCTCTCTGACCACAGCCTGATGGGAGGCACAGGCGAGGGAAGAACGTGGCTTTGGGAGCAGGGGGACCCTCATTCTCATCCCAGCTCTGCACGAACTGCGGCATGACCTTGGCCAGGCCCCTTCCCTTCCTTGGCCTCAGCCTCCATCTGTAGAGCTGGGCCAATGCCGGAGCCAATGACCTCTGCGGGCCCTCCTGCACAAGGATTCTCTCCCTCTTTCTGATCTATTTTTGCCTGACGCCTCTCCCAGGGGCCTGTGGGCCTGAGCTAATTTTCCTGGCTGGCCCCAGTCCAGGCAGCTCAGGTGGAGAGCGCCAAGCTAATGAGGCCAAGGTCATGGTCCAGTTAGCATCTCTCGGAGGAACCGTGGCTTTTCAGCCAGACTGTAGCTCCCTGACCAGTCACTGCGCTCAGGTAGAGGCGGGCCCTAGAGGAGAGGACAATAGCAAAGCTGGATCCTGCAAGTCAGCATTTCCAGTAGGAGCTGCTCAGGGCCCAGGGCCCAGATACCCTTTGTGACTGCAGGGCAGCATGTCCAGGCTCACATCAACATACCAGGATGATTCAAGGAGTGTGTACGTTGGGGGTTAGGGAGAGGACCAGGTGGATCACCAAGTGCCTGCAAGTACCCCCACACCTGTCAAGTCAGGAAGATGAGAACCAATTCTACCTTTAAATCTAAAGCAGATTGGGAGGCCGAGGCAGGAGGATCACCTGAGGTCAGGAGTTTGAGACCAGCGTGACCAACATGGTGAAACCCCATCTCTACTAAAAATATAAAAATTAGCCAGGCATGGTGGCGGGCGCCACCTCCCAGCTACTCAGGAGGCTGTGGCGTGAGAATCGCTTGAACCTGGGAGGCGAAGGTTGCATTGAGCCAAGATCATGCCATTGCACTCCAGCCTGGGGGATAGAGCGAGACTCTGTCTCAAAAAACAAAACAAAACAAAACAAACAATCTATATCTATATCTATATCTATCTATCTATCTATCTATCTATCTATCTATCTATCTATCTATATAAAGCAGACAGCATGTCCACATTCTCTCAAGGTGACCCCCTCTTTCTAACATCAGAACTTTCCTTTTTTCTACATGAGGCATTTCCACCACTTTTAAATCAGATGTAAGACAGAGTAAGCCTTCCTCTTTTACCTGCCACGAGGGCCAGGGGTTGTCTGTTCCTTCTCTACTACATCCCCGGCACCTAGACCCATGCCTGGCGTACCTACACTAGGAGCTCAGTCAATATTGTTGAGCGAATCAAATCACCACTGTTCCAGAATGAGGCTGCAGACTGCCTTTGAACGGACACAGTATTGCCAGTGGGTTTGACTCAGTTTTGTTCAAATATTTCAATTTCTTTTTTTGGTTTGTTTTTCTGAGGGAGTCTCACTCTGTTGCCCAGGCTGGCGTGCAGTAGCGTGATCTCGGTCGGCTCACTGCAACCTCCACCTCCTGGGTTCAGGCGATTCTCCTGCCTCAGCCTCCCAAGTAGCTGGGGCTACAAGCATGCGCCACCACACCTGGCTAATATTTTTGTATTTTTAGTAGATACAGGGTTTCACCATGTTGGTCAGGCTGGTCTCAAACTACTGACCTCAAATGATCCACCTGCCTCAGTCTCCGAAAGTGCTGGGATCACAGGCGTGAGTCACCGTGCCTGGCCTCAGATGCTTCTATTTCAACGAGTCTGGTGAAGCTTGTTATTTAGAGAGTAATATGTGAATGCTCTAGAAAAAGCAATTCTCCTGTCTCAGCCTCCCAAGTAGCTGGCACTACAGGTGCCCACCACCATGCCTGGTTAAGTTTTTGATTTTTACTAGAGACAAGGTTTTACCATGTTGGCCAGGCTGGTCTCGAACTCCTGACTTCAAGTGATCTACCCTCCTTGGCCTCCCAAAGTGCTGGGATTAGAGGAATGAGCCACCACACTTGGCCAAATTATTCCTTTTACAATCTGCTACAACCCCCTGATTTGAACATTTTGCAAATTTGAATGTTCTCATTAGGTTTTCGATTCAGTTCAGTGAATGTTTATTATTAAGTATTGTTATTATATTATTATTCATTATTGTTATTATTTAATAAGAATAATTGAGTTCTTACCATAAGCCAGACTTTGGGTTAAACACATAACATGTAGATTTAGTTAATTTTCATGACAAATCTATAAGATGGGCACTACTGCTATCCTACTTTACAGATGAGAAAACTGAGGCAGACAGAGGTTAAGTAAATTGCTCAACCCCACATGAATAGTAAGTTCTGGAGCCAGGAGTCAAACTTCAGAGCCTACACTCCTAATCACAGCTAATGTTGCTCTTCAGGACGTACTTTACATGCAAGTACAGTAACTGTCTACAAGGCACTGGTGATTAAAAAATGAACAAAGCCTTTAACAGGTGAATGGTTAAGCAGACTGTGGCACATCCACATCATGGAACACAATTCAGCAACAGCACGGAATGAACACTATTGATGCACACAGTAACCTGAATGACTCTCCAGAGAATTATGCCAACTGCGAAAAGGCAATCCGCAAGAGTTACGTACTCTATGATGCCATTTACTTATTTATTTTGAGACCTAGTCTCGCTCTGTCACCCAAGCTGGAGTGCAGTGGCATGATCTCGGCTCACTGTAACCTCCGCCTCCTGGGTGCAAGCGATTTTCCTGCCTCAGCTTTCCAAGTAGCTGGGACTACAGGCGTGCACCACCACGCCCAGCTAATTTTTGTATTTTTAGTAGAGACAGGGTTTTACCATGTTGGCCGGGCTGGTCTCGAACTTCTGACCTCAAATGATCCGCCCTCCTTGGCCTCCCAAAGTGCTGGGATTACAGGCGTGAGCCACCGTGCCTGGAAAATTATTTATTTTTAAGATTTGTTAAGTGTAGTCATGAGAAGCGGGAAAGAGTAGAACAAGGAGTTTTATCTGCTGTGACTGAACAATCAATTGAGATAACGCGGCACCTTCGGATCAGCTGATTCCATTTATCTAACATTCTTAAATGGACCCACTTATAGACATGAAGAATAGATTAGCAATTGCCAAGGCTAAAGTAGGGATCAGGGTGGGAGAGAAGTGGGTGAGGCTATAAAAGGACAACAAGAGGGATTCTTGTGGTGATAGAAATATTCTATATCTTGATTATATCAATGCCAATATCCTGGTTGTGATATTGAAGAGGCTAAAGCTGCATTTGGTACAATAAAATACAATTAGCAGCCTATAACCCCAAAGGAGAAAACTGGCCAGTTGTGTATTAAATCTTTGTGTGTTTGCATATGTGACATTTAAATGCTTAATTTATATGCCAACATTTAGCATTTTTCCAAGATGTTACTATTAACGGAAACTGAGTAAAGGGTACATGGGATCTCTCTGGATTACTTTGTACAAATGCAAATAAAAATGTTAATTTAAAAAAACAGAATGAGGCCAGGTACGGTGGTTCATGCCTGTAATCCCAGAGCTTTGGGAGACCAAGGTGGGAGGATCGATTGAGGCCAGGAGTTCAAGACCAGCCTGGCCAACCAGCAAGACCCCATCTCTACAAAAAATTAAAAAATTCAGCTGGGCATGGTGGCGTATGCCTGTAGTCCTAGCTACTGCAGAGGCTGAGGCAGGAAAATCACTTGAGACTGAGAGGTCGAGGCTGCAGTGAGCAATGATGGTGCCACTATACTCTAGCCTGGGCAACAGGGCAAGAGAATGAGGCAGACAGGAGCCCAGCCTGGCAGGAAAGGGAGGTTGTATTAGTCAGGGTTCTCCAGAGAGACAGAGCTAATAGGATAGATGTATATATGCAGGGGAGTTTATTAAGGAGTATTGACTCACACGAACACAAGGTGAAGTCCCACAACAGGCTGTTTTCAAGCTGATTAGCAAAGAAGCCAGCCAGAGTCTCAAAACCTCAAAAGTAGGGAAGCTGACAGCGCAGCTTTTAGTCTGTGGCCGGAGGCCTGAGAGCCCCTGGCAAACCACTGGTGTAAGTCCAAGAGTCCAAAAGCTGAAGAACTTGGAGTCTGATGTTCAAGGGCAGGAAGCATCCAGCACGGGAGAAAGACCATGGAAGGGAGTGAAGGCTGGAAGACTCAGCAAGTCTAGTCCTTCCAAGTTCTTCTGCCTGCTTAATTCTAGCCGTGTTGGCAGCTGATTAGATGGTGCCCACCCAGATTGAGGGTGCGTCTGCCTCTCCCAGGCCACTGATTCAAATGTTAATCTCCTTTGGCCACACCCTCACAGACACACCCAGGAACAATACTTTGCATCCTTCAATCCAATCAAGTTGACACTCAATATTAACTATCACAGAGGGCTTCCAATGCAGTGACAGTTGACATGAGTCCTCAAGGTTAGTTTGCAGGTCACAAGGGAGAGAAGGACAGGAGGCCTGAGGCAGGCAGGACAGCATGTGATAGTGGGCTGTTTGGGTCTTCCTTCCCCAAAGTCATCCTGGGATGGTGAGATCTCCGGCCATTCATTCCATTGCACAGAGGCATTCATGCAGGCTACCTCCCAACTTGTTCATAAAAATGTTAAGTGATGGACAAAATAATGTCTTTACATTTTTCTTAAACGTTTGGTTCCTGCTGCTGCTTATCTGGTAGAGAGGCTCATCAGAGGAGAAAATGAAGGAAGATTCCCTTGTCAAACATCACAACAGAGAGCAAGCATCTTTGTTCAGCCTGTCAGGATCATCTTTCACATTCAATTTAGAAAAATGGCAGATGTTAATGTTTTTCCTGTTAAGAGATAATTTCTTTTTAAAATGTTTGTTTTTTTTTTCCCCTTACTATGCCTAGTCCTGCTTTTTATATGATAACAGCCTAGGAGTGGAAAGAATGAGAGTTTGGGTGACAGAGATCCTTACATTTGAATCTCAATTCCACTTAGAGGCTATGGTCATGACTTAGAGGCTATATTAAGACCACTTAGAGGCTATGGTCATGACCTTGAGTCCGTTTCCCTGAGTTTCACTGCCTCAGACTAATCATACCGAATAGGCCAGTATTGCCAAATCCCAGTGCTAGGATGGGGATTAATGAGAAAACATTTGCCAAAAAACCTAGTATACCTTGTGTAATACCTGACACGTAGTAGGTGCTCAATAAGTGATACTCATTGATTTATTTTTTTATTTTATTTATTTTATTTTTTTGAGACCGAGTCTTACTCTGTCACCCAGGCTAGAGTGCAGAGGCGTGATTTCGACTTACTGCAACCTCTACCTCCTGGGTTCAAATGATTCTCCTGCCTGGGCCTCCCGAGTAGCTGGGATAACAGGCGTGTGCCACCACACCTGGCTAATTTTTATATTTTTAGTAAAGACAGGGTTTCACCATGTTGGCCAGGCTGGTCTTGAACTCCTGACCTCAGGTGATCCGCCTGCCTCAGCCTCCCAAAGTGCTGAGATTACAGTTGTGAGCCACCACGCCTGGTCAATAAGTGATACTCATTGTTAATAACAATTCTAGTTCATCTAAGGATTTAAAGCTGTGTACCTTTCATAGTGTTCTACAAACAGCTTCCTGATTTCCAGCAGCTTTGCTTATATCAGCCAGGATAGTCTAGGTTATGCTGCAGTAAAAAACAAGCCCCTAGGCTGGGCACGGTGGCTCACGCCTGTAATCCCAGCACTTTGGGAGGCCGAGGCGGGCGGATCACCTGAGGTCAGGAGTTTGAGACCAGCCTGACCAACGTGGTGAACCCCTGTCTCTATTAAAAATTCAAAATTAGCCGGGCATGGTGGTGCATGCCTGTAGTCCTAGCTAGTTGGGAGGCTGAGGCAGGAGAATCGCTTGAACCTGGGAGGTGGAGCTTGCAGTGAGCCAAGATCGCGCCATTGCACTCCAGCCTGGGCTACTAGAGCGAAACTCTGTCTCAAAAAACAAAACAAAACTAAACAAAACAAAAAAACAAACCAAACAAACAAACAAAAACCACCAAAAAGCAAGCCCCCGATCTCAGTGGTTCACAACAGCAAAGGCTACTTCTTGCTCACGCTACATGTCCATCATGGGGCAGGTGCCTCTCTGCTCCGGTTGTCTTCCCTCCTGGACTCAGTATCATGGAGCAACCACTTTCTGGAAGATTGCTGGTTGCCACAGTAGAGGAAAAGGGTCTTATATCAGCATTCATTGCTGTGGCTTAGAAATGACACATATTATTTCCATTCAAAACTCTTTTGTCCAGAACTGGTTACATATTCCCACCCAACCATAAGGAGACCAGGAAGAATAATCCCACTGTGCATCTGGAAAGGGGAAAAGCCAGACAAATGTGGCCAACAGCCCCAGTGACTACCACCACAGTGCTTTTGAAAACCACTGCCCAGAGCCAGAAGGATGGAGGATCAGCATGGCGGTAGGAGGAAGGGAGAAGCCAGAGGGGAATGAGGAGGAGCCGGGGTGCCTGGTATGGAGGGCCATCCATCCTTGGTCAATGTGCAGGGCTGGGGCCAGAGGAAGGCTGGGCGCCTTTCTCATCTGGACCCAGACCCAGACAGACCCCGGGGCCATTCCGTTCTGCAGGCAAACAAGCCAGTCCCGCTAGAATGTGGCAGTCACAGGCTTTCAACATGGAAGGTGGAGCTGCCTGGACGCTGTGTTTTTTTTCTGTTTGTTTTTTTGAGACGGAGTCTTGCTCTGTCACCCAGGCTGGAGTGCAGTGGCATGATCTGGGCTGATTGCGCCTCGGCAAAATCTCGGCTGACTTGCCTCCCGGGTTCAAGCGATTCTCCTGCTTCAGCCTCCCGAGTAGTTGAGATTACAGGCGCGCACCACCACGCCCGGCTAATTTCTGTATTTTTAGTACAGACGGGGTTTCATCATGTTGGCCACGCTGGTCCTGACCTCAAGCGATCCGCCCGCCCAGGCCTCCCAAAGTGCTGGGATTACAGGAATAAGCCACCGCGCCCGGCCAGACGCTGTGTTTTCCTGGCACTCCACTTCATGAGCAAAACTGTCACAGAGTAGTATTTCCCTGGCTCCACCCCTCCGGCGCTGCTGGATTCCTGAACCTATTCACTTCTTCTGAAGTGCTCTCAACTTGGCCTCCCTGGCTCCTTCCTGGTGCAGACATTTACTCTTCCTGCTCCGGCTTTGTGCCTCTGTAAAACTGCTGACGTCACCAGCAGCGGCTCCGACCGCCTGTCCTCCAAGGTCCCGGGCTGCGGCTGCGCAGCGCCGACAGCACGATGCGTGTGCCGACAGCGCCACCTCCTGGCTCTGCCGAGGCTGTTGGCAACACGCAGGGCTCGCAGTGCGCCCGCTTTTCTACTGCAGCCCTCAAAATTCAGCACGAGGCTTGGCTAGGGGAGCTTGAGTGGCTGACACTGTGGTCTGGTTAGTTTCCATTCTGACCCATGCTAGCCGTCTTTCAGATTCTAGAACTCAGTTCTTCTCCGGACCTCCCTCCCAGCCACAAGTCTTTGAATATGCGGCCTGCAGCTGGGCTCCCCTCATCCCCGCTCTTCTCCCCAACCTTCTTCATCATCCCTTGGCCGATCTTGAAGACTTAGCGGAGGCAGGGCGCAATGGCTTACGCCTGTAATCCCAGCACTTAGGGAGGCCGAGGCGGGAGCATCACTTGAGGTCAGGAGTTTGAGACCAGTCTGGCCAACATGGTGGAACTTTGTCTCTACTAAAAATACAAAAATTAGCTGGGCGTGGTGGCGGGCACCTGTACTCCCAGCTACTGGGGAGGTTGAGGTAGGAGAATCGCTTGTACCCGGGAGGCAGAGGTTGCTGTGAGCCAGGATTGAGCCACTGCACTCCAGCCTGGGCAACAGAGCGAGATCCTGTCTCAAAGGAAAAAAAAAGTCTTAGCTGAAACGTCACTTCCTCGACTCCTCAAATTTAGTCAAGCCCCCGTGCTATGAGATCTCTCCCCTTCTTGCTGGACGGGTTGGCAATGCTGGAGGATCTTGAAAGAGGAACACTCATGGGTCAAGAGCATTTCCTAACAGCGAACAGAGGTTTCAGAATCCTCATGAGCATCGGTGTCTCCTTGCTGGGACGCTGCTCACACACTTTGTGATCCTCAGAGGTGAGATGCAGGCCTATTAAACACGCTGGCCTTGGTGAGAAAGCCTCTGTGGGTTTCCTGTTTATCCCAATAAGCTGATTCAGGAAAGGAGACATCTCCTTCCTTCTCTGTTTGCCATGGAGGACTCACACCTTTCTTGTCCCCAGGACAGTGGACATCTGTTTGCCAATGCAGACCTCGTGCTCACTGGAGGCTGGAGAAGGCACGCTCAAGAAACGTTCAAGGCATGACAGCTACCCAGAAGGCCTCTAGTGCCCCAAGAGCTGCTCATCAGCCCCATTTTCTTCCTAATATTATTTAAAAATTTAAAGAAATTCAGTGAAAGTGTAAGCATACAGGCATAGGTAGTAGGTAAACTAGAATTCACTCTTGCTGGGGGAATACCACCCAGGGTTTGAAAAGATACAGAAGGCAAAAGAAACTGCATTTAGTATAATAAAATACAATTAGGCAGAGCACGGTGGCTCATGCCTGTAATTCCAGCACTTTGGGAGGCCGAGGAAGGCGGATTACCTGAGCTCTGGAGTTTGAGACCAGCCTGGGCAACATGGTGAAACCCCGTCTCTACAAACATACAACAATTAGTGAGTCTTGGTGGTACATGCCAGTCATCCCAGTTATTTGCTGGGCTGGGCTGGGATGGGAGGACTGTTTGGGCTCAGGAGGTCAAGGCTGCAATGAGCTGTGTTCACGCCACTGCACTCCAGCCTGGGTGACAAAGCAAGACCATGTCTAGAAAAAATAAAAAAATTAGCAGCCTATAATTCCAAAGCAGAAAACCAGCTGGCTGGCTATGCACTAAATCTGACCAGCCATTGTGTGTAAGGCGTGTGTGTGCAAATGTGTGTTTGCATGTATATCGTTTAAATAGTTACTTTATTTACCAACATTTACATTTAAGGAAATTTCACATCAAATAATCTATAATTCTAGAATCTTCTTAAACATGAGGTGGGCAACATGAGACCCCCACTTCTATCAGTATCCATCCTGACTGGACCCAAGTGGACAGCTTGAGTTTCCAGTTCAATCCAGTTCCTGCCTGGCCTCTGCTGGCCTCTGGGTTTGCAATCCCAACTCCCTACCACCGCCACTACTGCTGAGAGCATCCCCTCTACAGTACTCAGAACCTCACTGGCTGCCTGCAACCCTGGGGGATCAGCAGAAGAGACTCTAAGCCCATCTATCAGGTAAAAAACCTGAGGCCCAGAGAGGGAAAGTGACTTACCTAGGGACACACAGCTCTTAGTAAACAGAGTGGAGGCCAACTCCACTCCAACTCAGTCTCATTCCCACTCTGAGATTTAAGAAAAAAAAATGTGATTTTAAAAATCCCAAAGTTGTTTCCTTCCTCCCTCCCTCCCTCCCTTCCTCCCTCTCCCTCCTTTCCTTCCTCCCTCTCCCTCCTTTCCTTCCTTCCTCTCCCTCCTTTCCTCCCTTCCTCTCCCTCCTTTCCTCCCTTCCTCTCCCTCCTTTCATTCCTTCCTCTCCCTCCTTTTCTTCCTTCCTCTCCCTCCTTTTCTTCCTTCCTCTCCCTCCTTTTCTTCCTTCCTCTCCCTCCTTTTCTTCCTTCCTCTCCCTCCTTTTCTTCCTTCCTCTCCCTCCTTTTCTTCCTTCCTCTCCCTCCTTTTCTTCCTTCCTCTCCCTCCTTTCCTCCCTTCCTCTCCCTCCTTTTCTTCCTTCCTCTCCCTCCTTTTCTTCCTTCCTCTCCCTCCTTTCCTTCCTTCCTCTCCCTCCTTTCCTTCCTTCCTCTCCCTCCTTTCCTTCCTTCCTTCCTCCCTCCCTCCCTCCCTCTCTCCCTCCATTCCCCTTCCTTCCCTCCCTCCCTTGCCCTCCCTCCCTCCCTTCTTTCCTTCCTTCCTTTGTTTCTTCCTTCCTTCTTCCCTTCCTCCCTCTCTCTCCTTCCTTCCTCTCTTTCTCTCTCTCTCTCTCTCTTTCTTTTTCCCCCTCTCTCTCTTTCTTTCTTTCTTTTGACAGGGTCTCAGTCCTCACTCTGTCACCAAGGCTAGAGAACAGCAGTGTGATCATGGCTCACTGTAGCTTCTACCTCCTCGGGTTGAAGGGAGCCTCCCACCTCAGCTTCCCCAGTAGCTGGAACCACAGTCACGAGCCACAATGCCTGGCTAATTTTTTGTATTTTTTGTAGAGATGGGGTTTCACGTTGTTGCCCAGGCTGGTCTCAAACTCCTGGGCTCAAGCAGTCCTCTTGCCTTGGCCTCCGGAAGTGCTGGGATTACAGCCATGAGCCACCGCGCCCGGCCAATCGCAAAGTTTCTAAAGTAGGAAATGGGATTCTATTCCATCCCCAACTAATTGTCCCCAACCACTGGTAGCAGCCTGGCTTGTCTCTGCTTCGACAAACACAGAGGTCTAAGCTCACACTCTCAAAGTTACACTCACATGTCTACAGTTTGGCTTTCTCTCTTTTACTTTTTTTAAAATTTATTTTCTATTTGTTTTCCCCATGACATAGCTCCAGGAGATCCTGAGAACATGTCCCCTACAGTTTGGCTTTTAATCTTATGATTGCAAAGCTGGGATCATGCTGCAAACACCACTCTGCAACGTATCCTTCCCACCAACCCAGCGCCCACACAACCCCCTCAGTGTGGGCCATCTTTCCCTTTCAGGACACACAGCACAGTCCCTTTCTTCCCTCATCACCTCACAGGCCTGAACAGAGGGCCAGAGAGGTGGAGTCCTGCAATTTACCTGCTCAGTCTCCCATCACAGGACCCTGGACAAGTCACTCCTCTCTCAGAGCCTCAGTTTCCCTGCAGGAAAGAGGAGGTGCTCAGAGACAAGGTGGATGAAACAATTTCTGGGCTTCTTGTATCTCAAAAGAAATCCTCTTCCTGTGGCCGGGCGCGGTGGCTCTTGCCTTTAATCCCAGCACTTTGGGAGGCTGAGGCAGGCGGATCACCTGAGGTCAGGAGATCCCCGTCAGGAGATCCATGACCATCATGGAGAAACCCCGTCTCTACTAAAAATACAAAATTAGCTGGGCATGGTGGTGCATGCCTGTAATCCCAGCTACTCAGGAGGCTGAGGCAGGAGAATCGCTTGAACCTGGCAAGCGGAGGTTGTGGTGAGCCGAGATCGCGCCATTGCACTCCAGCCTAGGCAACAAGAGCAAAACTCTGTCTCAAAAAAAAAAAAAAAAATCCTCTTCCCCTGTCAGGCCTTAGTAGCAGCATCCTAGGGGTAGCCTAGACGGGGGCAGATTCCTGGGGGTGGTTCTAACCCACATCACATTAATGATGCCACCCAAGTCCATTCCCATGGCACCAGGTCACTGGGACAAAGGGCCAGGTCTCCAGTCTTCCATGTCTGACCTCTACCTCCTTTGCTTCCTCCAAAGTGCCCAGAGAAATGCACGTGGCCCACGGCTGCTGCCTTCTGAGGTCACCTGGCCATACCCCAAGTAGTCTGGGAACCCATGCTGAGCCTGGAGAATCTTCACTCTCCCACCTCTCCCTCCATTCCTCAGGGGAACAAGGACTCCAAAAGAGCCGTCGGATAAACCTGGGTTTGGATCCAGGCTTTCTACCTTGGACAAGTTACCTAAACCTCCTGCATCTCGGTTTCTTCTTCGTCAAATGGGGACAATACTTCTTTCTTTAAAGGCTTTACTTTGAGGATGAGGTGAGAGGGAAGCCATCCTCCTCCGTACCCCACAAGGATCACAGGCCAGTGAGATCCAGCTATTATCACCTCTGGTGATGCTGGTCGCCAACAACCCAAGGACCCCTGTTACTGAGCTCTAACCAGACCCTCCCTCTAGTATCCAACACATACTCTCAAGGGAAACAGAAATCACACAGAAGAGGCCAGGCAGGCGCAGTGGCTCACGCCTGTAATCTTAGCATTTTGGGAGGCAGAGGCGGGTGGATCACCTGAGGTCAGGAGTTTGAGACCAGCCTGGCCAACATGGTGAAACCCTGTCTCTACTAAAAGCACAAAATTAGCCGGGCGTGGTGGCACACACTTGTAATCCCAGCTACTCAGGAGGCTGAGGCAGGAGAATCGCTTGAACCCGGGAGGCAAAGGTTGCAGTGAGCCAAGATCGTGCCACTGCACTCAAGCCTGGGCAACAAGAGCGAAACTCTGTCTCAAAAAAAAAAAAAAAAGAAAGAAATCACATAGAGGAAATAAATTGGCTGGTTCTATTCTCAACCTCAGCTCCGCTGCTCCACTGGCTAACTCAGAGGACAGCCCGAGTCCAGCCATGACCCACTGTCCAGCCTCCTTTCCTGCAGGGAACCAGCTTGGGTTTCCAGGACGACACACTGGCCCGAAGTCTTACTCCCAGTCGCCACTGCACTCCTGCCTGGGCAACAACAGTGAAACTCCATCTCAAAAAAAAAAAAAAAAAAAAGAATGATACAACGGACTCTGGGAACTCACGGGGAAGGTTGGAAAGGCCAGGTATGCGGGATGGTATTGGCAAGGACACATATAGAGACACAGAGAAGGAGCATCGTAGGGGGTATGGGGAAGCTATGCACATTTCAAAGTATTAGTAGAGCACAAGGAAGAGGCTGGGACAGGGGGAGGATGAACTTGGAGAAGCCATGACTGGAAGCCTGTGTCCCATGGCATTGTCATCTGTGTGTGTGCCCCATCTTGACTTTGAGCTCCACACAGGACAGGACTCTGACTCATCTTTGTTATAGATCTCAGTGAGTGCAAGGCACGAAGAAGAAGGGGTGTCAATGAGTGCTTCATAAATGAATGATTGGATGAATGAATGAATCATCTGTTTCTCCACTTCCATTCTGTGGTCTCCGGCCAACATTCCCTCCCATTTACCTCTCATTAAACTCTTTTTGCAGCAGCACTTTCTCTTAGTTCTTCCTGTCATTTGCTAGACTTCAGCTTTGTGATCTTTGGGTCAGACACCATGATGAGAGATGCAGATCGCAACTGAGCGTCATTTAAATATTCAGAAGAGCTGAGGCTCCGCAGGCTGAATTCTGAATATGCAGATAATTCAGAAAACACTGGAGCAATAGACTTGTTGAATTCAAACTCGAGGTGGAGCAGACGAGGGTACAGCTCGGCTTAGGTGACCCATCGTCCCCATCAGCTGCTCCTTCCCAAAGCTACGGCTCCCTCGGCCTTTGAGCTTTCAAGCCTCAGCCT
Source organism: Homo sapiens (assembly GCF_000001405.40). Taxonomy (NCBI): domain Eukaryota; kingdom Metazoa; phylum Chordata; class Mammalia; order Primates; family Hominidae; genus Homo; species Homo sapiens. The sequence continues at coordinate 36,130,145 of NC_000022.11, forward strand.
CGTGTGTTGCTTCAGTGGCAGCTGGAACATTCCTCCCTGCAGCCTGCTCCTCAGACGCTTATCTCACCCCATAGGGCCCTGCTCCATCTCAGTCTTGGATGGGGTTAGCAGTGTTTTCTGGATCAAAGTAGCTTCTTTCCTTGTGCTGTATTTAAACTTTGTGGCGTAGGCATCAGTTTCCCTAATGCCTCTGTTATCCATCTTGCAGGTCTACAGTATTGAGAGACAGAAAGTCAAGAAGTTCTGGACCTGCCAGGAATTCCCACTGTGGAAACAAATCCACCCTCCTTACTTCCTGGAGAGGGGCAATTCCTTCAGGAAGGTCTTCCATGAGCCTTACATCAGACTTTGTCCTGAACTCCACCCACAGCTCCCCTGTCTGAGCGTGTCCCATTTTCTCTGGACCTCTTTCATCTCCAGTCCCAGACCAGCATCCTCCTGCATGTGCTTCTGAAAGTACAGGCCACTCCTGCATCCCTTCTATACCTGGGTCGCCAGGAAACTCACGGATCCACTTTTGACGCAGTCTGTTCTGCTCTCCCTTCTCAAATCTGCCCAGATCTCAGCTGTCCCCCATGGTCCTTATCAAACTCCCATCTACAGCCTCTAGAAAGTGACTTCTGATCATTTCCTCTATCGTGGCCCTGAATGGCAGTCACATGTACCCTTCATCTGTTTGGCTCTTGCCCCCTGCCAGACCCAGCAGCAATTCCATGCCCCTGTCTTTCTGGATCTCAGCTCGAGAGGAGTTTGAGGTGCGTGGCTTGATTTTCGCCCATCATTCTGTCCTGTCTGGCTTGCATGCCTTACCTTTTCTTCACAGGAAATCCCATCATTCAATCCACATGTTGCTTTTCCATGTACCAATATTAGATTTTCCTAGTGATTCTTTTCTGATAGTAAGTCCCAAATCTGTCTTTTAGCCAATCTTATCCCTCCCTGATCCTCTGAGAAACCAGACTCCTAGATACGGACCTTTCAAATGCTTCTTTGCTTCTGGGCTTTTAATAATCCCCCTGAGATTATTCACCAGCTAAAGGATGGTGGGGACAGAACAGCACTTGACTGATAAAGGCCCCCATCCTCCTGGTCTGTCACTCTCACATCCCACCGTTCCCTGGGGTACCCCCTGGAGGCCAGCACACGACCTCTCCAGATCCCTGTTGACACCACTTGTTGGGGAAAGGCAGCTCGAGCATCCCATGGACATCCGTCTGAAAGGTTGGCCCCAATCTGGTTCCTTCCTTGATGGAGGACGACATTAAAAGAAGACAAAGGAGAGAATTTGGGGTGACTGATCTATTGCTGCTTAGGCCAAGTCTAACCATTGAAAGTCTCCAAATCTCACACCTAAGGGTCCCTAGCTCTTGTAGAACACCACAGAGATTTTCCAGTTCAAGGTTTTGGTCTATCACACGATGGGAGAAAGCTGGCAAGAAGAAAACAAGCTGTGGGAATCAACAATTGTTTTACTCACCAAAGATTAGGAAGCCTGAATAACAACATCACCTCTTTTGAGTACAGCCTCACATAGAACTGAACTGAATAGAAATCATCTCATTTTACAATCATCAGACATCTGTCTTTGCCCCAGTCCTGGCTGCTGCACCCTCACTACGAGCCCTGGATTGCCACGTCGTCCCTTGGTTCCCAAATCCTAGCCCGTGGATATACATTTCTTATCCTAAGAGTCACCCTACTATGTGAGGGTTCTGGGAGCAGCTTTGTTCCTGGGAATCTGCAGGCACCTTCCTGCCTTCCTGCTGTGGTCGCCAGGCACAAGGAAAGAAAGAAGGGTCTCGCTTATTACAGTAGGGAAAACATGCGATGAATTCTCTTCTAACCCTGGTGCAGAAATTCTCCTAATGAGTCCTGGGGTGAAACGCAGGCCTGGAAGCGAGGTGAGGCTCCTCCCCACCAGCATCTAAAAAGCCGGCTCCCTGGAGCCACAGGATTTTTCCAATCAGCCATGGGACCAGGGCAGCCCACCAGCCTCCCCAGCTGCCAGACGCTGGTAGAGAGACCTGAGACAGAGGGCAGGTGAATGGAGCGGGAGAGGAGGAGAGAAGGGACACCAGATGGGGTCTGAGGAAGAAAGAAGGAAGAAAAAAAGATACCTTGATGGGGAAGGGGAAAGCCTTAATCTGCTTCTCAATCGCGAAGTAGGTCTGCTTCTCAATCATGCAGTAGGGAGTGAAAAGCACAGGTGGGGCTTTTGAGGCTCAGGCACTCCACCCACCAGGACAATGCGGACCCCATGACTGCAGAGCCTAGGCTCTGCAGGGAGCAGCTAGGGAGACACTAGTAAGGGAGGTGGGCAGGGGGCAGAGGCCCCTTTCCCCCACTGCTCCCACGGGGATGAGGAGGGGGCTTCCGAAAAGGCCCAGGTTAGGGGGCCTGCCTGCTCAGCTCACATCCCCCTGGTGTGACAGTGCCTTCTTTACTCTGTCCTCTAGCCCCCGGGACCCATCTGAGTCTCTCCCCTGGAAATTGGAGGACCTGAAAGAAAACCCTTGGAGGCAGCAGGCAGTGGAGCTGAGGCCTTGAGTGTAGCTCGTTCCCTACCGCTGAGAGCCCTGAGGCTTTCTGGGTCCCTGGTCTTCCCTAAGCCTGTTTTTAAAAAATGTGCACGCACGCCCACCCACCCAAGGATTTCTTTAATTCTGTGAGCTTTCTCTCTGGATCATTCAAATATATGCCTCCACTCTTGAGGTAGCGGGAAGATTTTTTAAGATTTTTCATTTGTTTTTGTTTTTGCATTTGCTTTTGTCTTGGTTTTGCTTTGCTATGTTCTACTTGCATCCAAAGGGTCCTACCTAATAGAAAAATTGGCACCAAAGGGTTGGTTGCAGACCACAAAGCCTCAGGATAATTGGTACAGGTAGAATCATGTTTTGTGTTGAGAGGTGGACAGAGCAATAGTGAACCCTTCTCACCCCCCTCATTCTGGGGAGCACCTGCTCTCAGCTTGTGGAAAGGGGACAAGGAATGCTGGGACATGAAGCAGGACCACTCACTTTGGACAAAGGCCTTTGACATTTCTCCTGAAGGCGTCCAATAAATTGTGGCTGTTGATATTTTTGGCTGACTCTCCTATGAAAAACAAATTCAGAAACCGTTTCTATAGGTTTCTGGTTACATGATGAATTTCATCCTCACTAGATCTTCTAAGCGCACATGAGGGCCCTGATGGGGACAGAGTGGTGTGCTAGTACCTCTCCTGCTGTAACAAAGCCCTACAGACACAGTGACTTGAACCAACACAAAGTTGTTCTCTTCCAGTAGAGTTCTAAAATCAAGGCATGGGTAGAGCTGCATTCCTTGGGGAGGCTCTGGGAGAAGCAATTCCCTTACCTTTTCCAGCTTTTAGAGGCACCTGCTGTCCTCAGCTCCTGGCTTCTCCCTTCGTCTTCAAGCCAGCCTTGTAGCATCCTCTGATCTCTCTCAGTTTCTCTCCCCTTCTATCATCTCATCTCCTTTTCTCCCTCTCACCCTACTGTCTCCGCCTTATAAGGACCCTTGTGGATACCTTGGGCCCACCCAGATAATCGCAGATAACCTCTCATCTCCAGATCCTTGACTGGATCACACCTGTGAGGTCCCTTTTATGATGGAAGGTGACATAATCACAAGTCCTATGATTAGGACACCCACATCTGTCA